>NC_000015.10:36307177-36610207 GCF_000001405.40 Homo sapiens
ATGTATAACTTTCAATAAAGAGGATTTGCACATTTTGCTAAATTATTTCTAAGTATTTTATGTTTTGTCTACACTATCTTAATAGAAACTTTTAAAAAATTTCACCTTCTGATTGCTACTGGTATATGAAAATACTAATGATAATTGTATGTTGACATTGTATCCTATAATCTTGCTACATTTACTTTTAGTTCTAATACTTGTTTTGTACATACCTCGAATTTTTCTTAAGTAAATAGTAAGGGCATCTGTAAATGCATATATTTTTTACCTTTTTTCAAATAATTATGTCCTTTATTTTATTTTCTTGCCATGTCACACTGGTGAGAACTTCATGCAGTTTTCAATGGGAAGGTTGAGGGTGAAAATATTTATTTTGTTTCTAAACTTAGGTGCAAGCTATTTGGTTTAATGGTCTATAAATATCAAGTAGGTCAAGGAAGTGGCTAGTGTTTATATTATCTATGACCTTGCTGATTTTTTACCAATTGTTCTATCAATTGTTGAGAGAGGAGCATTAAAATCTTCAACAATTATTGTGGAATTATCTGTATCTTCCTTTAATTCTGTAAACTTTTGCTCATTGTACTTTGAAACTCTTATTAGACACATACACACTTATAACTATTATATATTTCTATGAATTAACTTTTTATCACTATGAAATATTTGTTCTTATTGCTGGCCTGATAGCTTTTGATATGTTAACTTGATTAGGCTTAGCTACAGTCATAAGACTTCTCTTTCCAGTAGATTTCCAGTTGGAAGTGTGGACTACAAGGATATTTCTTGGCTAGAGTTGGAGACTACAAGGGAGGAAGAATATATTTTAAAGCATATATACATCTTCGACTTTTTCAGTCAGACAGTGATGTAGGTGCTACTATGAAGGGATTTTACAGATGGAACTAAAATGTCTACTTAGCTAATCTTAAATTAATCAAAATGGAGAGTATTCATTTGAGGTGGGCCTGACTTAATCAGTTGGAAGGCTTTTAACAGAGAACTTAGGTCTTCCCTAAGGGGGAAATTTCAGACAGCCACTGGGTCTGCAGTTATTATTGTTTCCCATGGATATTTTCTTCTAGATTAGCTATGGACAACAAGCCTTATTCCATGCTGGTAAGATTTGAACTTGTTCATTATCTTCCCTTCCTGACTGCAACCTCTACAGACTTTGCATTTGATTAACCTGCTCCCAAAATTGAATAAGCCAATTTCTCATAATAAATATAAACATAAATATAATTATATAAATAAATACACATACAGGTCCTACTGGTAAAACTCTTTTCTTGAATTCTACTTTAGCATTGTTAACCTATCTGTACCACTATATTAAAAATTTATCTATTATAAATAACATATAGTCTCCTTTTTATTTGGAGGATTAAGTCCATTTATATTAAATATAAATATTGATAGTAGATCTATATATATATATAATTTTACCATTTGTTCCATTTTTTGTTGTTCCTCTGTTTATTCTTCTTCAGTTTTGCTTATCTATCACAAGCATATTTTCCTTTGTATTCTTGAGCATGGCTTTCATAGCTACTTCAAAATCTTGTTTGCTAATTTCAACACCCAGGTAATTTGTGTCAGTCTTTACTGTTTGTTGTCTTGAGTATAGGTCATGTTTCCTGCTTTTTTATATGTATAGGAGTGTGGGATTTTGCATAATATCTTGTAGAGACTCTGGATTCTGTGATATTCCTCCAAAGATTGTTGAATATTTTATTTGTTTGTTTTAGTGGGCAGTTAACTTCTCTGAATTCAAAGTCTAAATGTTATCGTCCCTGTGCTGGGCAACAGCTGAGATTTCTGTTCTGTTATTTTAGTCTTAGATGGGCTCCGTAGAACCTGCCTATGCATTCGCAGTTTAAAGGGTTAGCCAGAAATTTGGGCAACGTTTACACAGAGTGTTTAATTCTCCACCTCTTTGGTTCCTTCATTGTCAAGATTACTTCCTTCACTTTCCACCTACTATGCTAGCTCTGAACCCTGTCCTCTGGGACTTCAAGTCTATAAAACTACAGCATTCTGAGTCTTAGCCAGCATGCTCTTTCTGTGATTGAAGCCATCCACCCAGCAAACAGTGGTAAAATAAGAAATATTTAGTGTTATTTCCTTCTTTCAGAGGTCCACTTTTCTTCCATTTCTACCTATATTTGGTTGCTCTCTAGTACCTTTAAGTAGTTTTTTTTTTAATATCTTCTTCAGACTTTAACATTATTCTCTGCAGGAGGTTAACTAAGGTATTTCACCATCGCTTGTTGATTGTTCTTAATTCTGCCCATACCTTTGTAAGTCCTTCTGTCTTTAAATATTTGATGTAATTCTTTACCTACTATCTTTAAGTGTGCCTTGAGAGATACACCAACTTTATATTTTTGCATATGCTGTATCTTTTACTAAAATGCTTCTCCCCTGAAACTTACAAGACTAGTTCCATTTTATCTTTCAGTTTCCACCTAAATATCTCTTCCTTGGAGGTGACCATGCTCTTGAATAGGTTCAACTCCTCTCACACTTTACCACATGCTCACTTCTCTGCCTCAACATTTTGTTTAATTCCTTTATAACTCATCAGAATTTTTTTTTTTTTTTTTGAAACAGGATCTTGCTCTGTCACCCAGGCTGAAGTGCAGAGCACAATCCCAGCTCATTGCAACGTCCACCTCCCAGGCTCGAGTGATCCTCCCACCTCAGCCACCCTAGTAGCTAGGACTGTAGAAGCATGCCACCATGCCTGGCTAATCTTGGGGGCTTCTTTGGTGGGGGATGGGTTTGTTTGTTTGCTTTTTGTTTGCAATAAGGTTTTGCCATGTTGCCCAGGCTGGTCTTGGACTCCTAGGCTCAAGCAATCTGCCTGCAGCAGCCTCCCAAAGTACTGGGATTACAGGCACGAGGCACCATGCCCGACTGGAATTTCTTATTTATTTATCTGTTTATGTGTTTGTTATCAGTCTTATGAGCTAGATGGTGGATTTCATGAGTGCATGAATTATGTCTGTTTCATTCAACATTATATAATTGGTGAGTTTCAGAATGTTTAGCACATATAAGCCAATCAATAAGTTTTCATTCATTTATTGCAAGGTATTGTCAGTACCTTTCATGAGAATTTTGGAAGATTTCATGCTGTTAGGTTTCATTGAATTGCTATAGTATTAACTAAAGTCATCACTTTCAACAATGTAGAAGGTGGAAAAATATACATCGATTATCTTACTTCAAGGGACAACAGATTAATAAGGGAGATAGAATGTATCATGTAATAAAGGATACAAAATCCTTTCAAAAATCTTCAGATCATAAAAAATGCAGCCCTGTAAAGTAAAATGTTACAGTATGGTGCCACTAAACAAAAACTCCAGCAAGTGAATAACTTTTAAAAATAAAGGTGGATTAAAAATCTATATACACTAACCAGTTATTTTTTTCCCACTTTGCAATTTATTTTCCCATATTTAGAAAGAATAATTCTTCCTAAGTGATTTTGAGTGTTTAGAAAAATGCTTAGAATTCCTTAGGGAATTTAGGAAGCAACTAGGATGCCTTTTGAAGCTGTTATTATACCCTCAAAAAGAGACTGAGACTGCACTTCTAATCTCAGGCCTTTGAAGAGAAGCTGCCCTTTTTAAGACCTCCCCTCTGGACTTTAATCATCTCCTAATAGGTCTTCTTACCTCTAGTTTTTCTTTTTCAAATTTTACTAATTATGCACTCCACTGCTTAATTCTTAAAATGTGAATATTCTTATGATATTTTCCTGTGAAAGAATCTGTCATTGTTTCTACTGTGTCTCAGATCAATTCTGATATCCAAAAATATTCATAAGATATTTAGTCTTCAACCAACTGATAAAATCAGCTTCATCACTACTCCATCATGTCCAAGATCAAATAAGTCAGTCATCTGCCATGCACCATGTACATTTTACACATTGCTGCCATTGTCCTTTTTAACACAGCATTCCATCACACTCTACCATACCCTTCCCTACTAGAATGCCCTTTTCTTTTCTTTTCTGCTTTTCTTTTCAGCTTACTGAATTCTTATAATTCTTTCCAGATCATAACTCATAATTCATGAAGTCTTTTTTCAATTACTAAAAATACAATGATCTTCAAATTACTTCAGTTTCCTGTAATAATTATCAATAAATTTGTACTGAGTGTCTATCATAAGCTGGGCCCTGGATATACAAACAGGTGGAAGATTCAGTGCCCAAACTCAGAGTTTCACGTTCATCTAACAAGATAAATAATAACGCAGAGGCAAAAAAAGGGCCTCATAGTTTACTACCCCACCATGCAATTCCTTAAAATCTGTCTTAAAATTGTTCTCAAGTATTTTTGTATTATCTGTCTTCCCAAATTAAACTCTCAAAAGGTTAGATTTCATATCATTTTTATTTTATATATCTATCTTAAAGTTTGTTGAATTAAATAACAGCTAATGCTTACTGAGTGTTTACTATGTGATGGGTGCTATTTTTAATACTATAAATATATTAACTCATTTAATCTCCAGGAAAACCCTATGAAGAAGGATATTGTTACCATTTGATAGATAGGAAGACTGAGGCAAAGGAAGATTAAGCAACTTGCTCAGGATCACATAGCTACATTAGTGACAGAGCTACAATTTGGATGTAGGTATTCTACCTCTAGATGCTGTACTTTTTAATGTGGTGCCTTACTGCCATGTAGACTGCATGTCTATAGCACGCGTGCATCCATCAGACCATACTGCTAAAATAAAGAAGGATCTACTATGAAAGCAGAAAATCTACCTGGGGACAACAGAGAAGCTGTCGAAACCTGAGAGAAGCAGAGCTGAACTTGAAGGTCAGGAGTTCTCCAGCCCCAGTCAGGTATTCTAAGGTTTGGAAATCATGTGGTTGCCACTTTCCTTACCACTGCTTTTCTGATAATGCTGCAGGGAGTTCTAATATGTCATGGTCATGTTCCTAGAGTCTTCCCCTCAAGGAGAAGCCTAGCAAGGAAACCCATTCCATTGACTATGCCAATCAACATAGGCCATCTCCTCCTTTTTCCTTGCTAAATGAACTCCGATTCTGTTTAGGAAAGCAATGTTCTCAACTAAAAGACAATCAGGTTTCCTAGGTTTTTGAGAAACAATGGATAGCTATGAGTCATGGATCCAGCCAAAAATATATGAACAGAAGTATGTTGGATATATATGTTGGGTATATATTATACTCTAGAAAAAGACATTGCCTTCCATTTTTGCCTACAAAAAATAGACTGATTCAGATGGTACAGGCATTTTGGCTCTCTGCTCTTCCCTTTCTACCTGCCTGGAAATGCAGACATAGTGCACATTGGTACAGCAGCCAACCTCCAACCAAGATGCCAGATATCACACACTCAGATCAATGAAATTGGAGGGAGAAAAAAAAAAAAAAAAAACCACCTCCTTGAGTTCTCCAGTCTCCCTCTTAGGTACAAAAAATTAACCCCTAATTTGACTAAGCTACTGTGTTTAGGATTCTGTTTACATGCAGCTTAATGCAATCCTAAATGATAACACTTATTATCAGGGGTTGATTCATAGGAACAAGTTCATTCAATTTTTGGGAAACTGGTGTTAATAAAACCCTCTACTATACTCAATCACTGTGTGTGGACTTTTGTATATTTTTGGAAAAAACCAATAAAACTTCCATTTGATTTTTTTTCAAGAGGAATAAGTATTTTGTTACCATTATCATCAGGGTAAAATAAAATGGAAGACAATTAAATAGAGCCTTTCACCATATCTGAGCCAATATTTTGAAGCTCAATACACTTTTACTTCAGGAAGGAAAGTTCACATCAGTAATAGGGTGATTCATCCTTCCTTAATCAATGAACAATTAATCTTCATTAGTATACCCAGGTAGTTTAAATGTGCAATGTGATGCTGGATCTTAGCAAGGAAGCCTCGAATACAATGGAAGTCATTAAAATTACATTACATTTAGCATTCTTGATGAGGCCAAGCTGGCACCAATTCCACAGTAATCATAAGCACTGAGGCTCATGGCTGAGTCATTCATAGACTATGGACAAATGTGTTCATTTAAGTATCATTACCTGCTCCCAAGGCCAAAGTATAAACTTCCTGTGACTCTAAGGGTCTAAGGATGGTTCCCTTAGTGATCCTTACACAGGTCACATTTTTGCCTCACTCACCTTTGTTCATACTTCAGGGCCCAGAACCACTGGGTTCTGATCCCATTAACCCTAAGGTGCCTTGCTCAACCACTCCAGCTTGTAGAGATATCCCTAATAGTCCAATTATTTTCTATCTGTCACTTAGGGGCATCATTATATCATTATTAGCATTATCATCACTGTTCTTATGTGTTGAATGCTTATTATATACAAGGCCGTCTCATAGGAAATGTATCTTTGCCATTTCAGCCATAAGTTGATCGTCTTATTTTCACCTTACAGATACGAAAACTCAAGTTCTCATTAAAAAGTTTGCCCAAAATCAGGCTTCTCTGCTTCCAAAATGACACATTGGTCTTTCAGTCAGTTATAAGTTACATTCTCTTTTGTTGTTTTTGCCTCTTGCTAGCATACAATGCTGTCAGCTCCCTGAGGGCAGTGATCATGCCATATGTTTCTAGATATCCTTAGACTTCAACACATAAAGGACACAGTAGGGTCTGGTAAAGCCTTGATAAGTGCAGTGGGTTTGACTCTAGTCCAATCCTACTAATTCTTGGTGCCTCATATCAACTTATTTGATACAAGAATTATCTGTAAACCCAGAAGTAATTTTTAAGACTGCATGGTTGGATTTGGTAGATAGCAAGCTCTTATAGGCTGTTTATCCTTCTAATCGTACACATAAATAGAAGAGAAGCCAGAGTAAAGCCTTGAAAAGACCAAGTTGACTCATCAAGTATATGTCTCTATCAGTCTTGTGAAATAGACCGTCTTTTTGTTAAGACTTCAATTTAATTAGGATTCCTTCTTCCATTGAGATAACATCTTCAACTGGTTTAGTCCTTTCTTGTGCCTTCTTGCATCCTGAGAGGTGGTAATGGTTTTCATTTTACTTTCTGGTCTTAAAGCATGATAAACAGCTAGTGTCAGTTTTACTTCCCCTGACCAGGGCCTGCAGCAGTGGCAGTAGGGGAAGGTCAGGGAGCTGGCCTCCAGTCATCTGCAATGTTCCTCATCCTCACTCTCCACAGCTTCATCCCTTCTTTCCTGTGGTCTTGATCCATCCTTTTACTCTCAAAGATTGTATGATCTGTGCCTAGAATTATAAAATAATTTCACATTTTACAGATGTATTTTATTAAAGACATTTATGAAATATCAAGCCTCTCCTTAAAATGCAGTTCAATCGCTTTTTACATGTCTTTGGTGTACCTCTGTTTTGTTTACTATGAAAAATAGCTGGAAAACAAAGTTGGTATTATAATTTTTCTCCTTAATTACAGTTATTAATGAAGACTCTAAGGTTTTAAAAAATAAATATGATAAGGCCAATAAACCAAGACTGCAGATTTTTTAACATCAATATATTCAATATTGAATTTCAACAGAGTAACACAAGTCCTATGATTACAGTCAATAAATGACCCATATACACATCAGCATGTCATGAATTTTTTGGAGGGCTGAGTCTCTTGATTGGGGATGCATTTGGCAGAGCCAAACACATGAAGAGTCAATGCCTGTAAATGATCCTTCAAATTTTACTTCCATTTTATCTAATGTGGTCACCTAATTCCAACTAGTTCTAAGCTTTTCCCATCTGAGTCTGTTTGCAAGAAAGAAGATTTTCATTGGGATAATCTGGGGATATTTTTATCCAGGCATTCTTTATACCAGGAGGATTTTTGTTTTCCTTTTGAATAAAAATAAACTAGCCAGTTCCATTTTTCTTATATATTAATTTTTAAAATAATTTGCGACTGCGCACGTGGCTCACGCCTGTAATCCCAGTACTTTGGAAGGCCAAGGTGGGCAGATCACCTGAGGTCAGGGGATTGAGACCAGCCTGGCCAACATGGTGAAACCCCGTCTTTAGTAAAAATACAAAAAATAGCCAGGCATGGTGCCACGCGCCTGTAGTGCCAGCTATTCAAGAGGCCGAGGCAGGGGAATCACTTAAACCCAGGAGGCAGAGGTTTCAGTGAGCTGAGATCGTGCCACTGCAATCCAGCCTGGGTGACAGAACGAGACTCCATCTCAAGAAAATAAAATAATAAAATAAAATAAAGTAAAAAATTTGCTAGCAAAGAATAAAATATGGCACACCAAAGTGCATCATTTTATTAATTTATTTATTTTAAGAGAAAAGAGGCAAATACACTCTCACTGACCTGTATAAAAACAAACCACTGACATCCGAATTCTTGCCTCTACTTATTTCTTTAATTAATCAAGTTGCCAAATACATTTTAATACACAACTCTATATTTAATACTTCTGTAATTTATAACATTTTAATATTCTGTTACATAAAATAAAAACAGACAAATTATATATTACTAATAAGCTACTTTATCTAAATAATTACTCTGTTCACTTGTATCTAAAACAGAGGACACAGGTTTTTGATTTAGAAATCTTAGGTCCAAATTTTCAAGTTTTGTGTACTTACATCATTTAATCTCCCTGAGCCTCAGTTTAACTATCTGTAAAATGGGGACAGTGATATCTACACCAAAAAAATTATTCTGGATGTCCAATAAGATTAGATAACATGCTGAGAGGTGGTCCAGGTCGGTAAAGAGTATGGAACCTGAGCCGGGCAACTTGATTCACTTCTTTGTTTTTCAGTCTCTTTATCTGTACAATGAAAATGATGGTTATGGGGTCAGGTGTTAATATATGGAAAGTGTTTCAAATAATGTGAATTTCAGTAAGTCTGCTTACGTATGGGTATTATTATTATTTCATGTGAAAGTACTTAGCAAACACCCTGGAACATAGTTCTACTTTCCTCTTGTCTTGTTATTAGCAAATCGGTTCCCCATTTAACTATTATCATTTGACAATGGCGGCTACAGAATTTCTTTATGAGGGTGTCTGGGGGTGGGAGAAACCTTGTAGAAAAAAGAGTTGGTAGAAAAAAAGAAATTTGTCTTGAAACTATGTTTGCACACTCGTTTAAATATGATCAAGAAAATGTTATTTTCCAGAGGAAACTACTGAGAAAGGTAACTGCGGAAGGTAACCTACTGAACACTCTGGATCATGCAAATATTTCCAAGTAGCAGAATAGTGATCAAAATAATGAATTCTCAATCAATCAATCCAGTATTTTCCGTATTTTTTCCATTGCTTAGCACAAAACAATAATGGGAACTTAAAATACATGAACTGATTGGTGTTTGGCCCATTAAGTGATCCAGAGAAATTCGTTCTACCCAAGACATTCTACCTAAGAGACATATAAAAATGGCACCCTCTTCATTTATTATTGATGTCAAAATTAAAAGCATTACAATTCATATAAAAAATTGTACCCCAATCTAAAATATCATGATTTACTTTTATATATGGGATTAATATGTTAGGTAACAAACTTTGATATCCTGAAAATGAATTGGTAAAAGTCAATGACATATTTATTTTATTTATAACACATACACACACACACAGCACACACAAAGCAACACCCACACACACACACACACATTTTCTACACAGCAAATGTCTATGATAAGATCAACCCACCAGCAATGAGCACCCCAATACTCAGATTTTCCCTCCCATTACCATATTCTATAAGAAGGAAAAAATAATATTTTAAGTGGTTGCTAATTCCAGATGTGAGACAAGAAATATACAAGATTATCCCAGCACAAGCAAGAAAGCTATCAAGGATACTCAGCAACCAACTTGAATAAACCCATTTTAATCCAAGATAGAACAACTGAGCATCAATAAAGATATATCTGCAAAGCACTGTGAAGCATTAAGTATGTTAAACCCAGGCACCTTTGATAATTCTTAGATAAAAATTAGTCAACTCTGGAAGATGCTAGGGTTCCACCTCTTCATTTAAACAATTGATAAACTAGCGGGGAAATAAACAATTGATTCTGTCTTTCCTACATGAGCTATACCACAGAGTAACTACATATGAGATAAGGGGAAAATTCAATTTTGATGTTTTAGGATAGCAAATTAAGACGAAATAATCAATTGAAGTAAAGTCAAAGTTTAGAGTTATATCAACAATAGTTGATGTAAGTGGATAATTGTTAAAACTGAAAGGTGGGTTCATGAGTGTTACATTATTATGCTATTCAGTATCTTTTATATATGTTGATGTTTTCATAATATGCAATTAAAGAGAAATAATAATATCCTGGTTACAAGTAGCTTGGTAGTAAGTCTTTAAGAAATGTAGCATGAATTCTCTAAACGTACTCTTTTTCAGGATTATATTGACTATTATTTTTTGTTTCCATATATATTTAGAATTAACTAAGCTATTTCTACAACACAGATCATTTTTATATCATTGAATCTGTAGATCATTTGAGCAGAACTCACATTTTAACATGCTTGAGTCTTCCAATCCATGAACAGCTCTTCATTTATTAAGTCTTCCATGATTTTTTTAATATGGTTTATACTTTTTGGTGCTGCATTCTTGCACATACTTTGTTATACTTATCCATGAAGTTTGTCTTGTTTTTACTATTTAAATTGTATTTGAAATTTTAAATTTAATTTTTAATTTAATTTAATTTGTTTTCATCAAATATATAAAACTACAACTAATATTTATTTGTATTTTGAGTTTGTATCCTGCAAATTTGACTTATCAGATTTGTACTTGCCATGGCTAGTAATTGCCTTGTAGATTCCTTAGCGTTTTTATGTGTCATAGAAATATCATATGTGCACACTTTCACACAGTGTGCAAATACAGACGGTTTTGCTTTTCCTTTCTAATTTTTATTGCTTTGATTGCTTTATATTGCCTTATTGCAAGTGCAATATTAAATAGAAGCGGTGGATGCAGGCAATTTTGCCTTTCTCCAATCTTGGGAAAATGTTCAATATTTCACCACTAAAACTGATGTTAGCTATAGAGCATAGCTATACATAAATGCTGTTTATCAGATTGAAGGAATTTTCTTTTATGCCTAGCTTCCTAGGGGTTTTAAAAAAATGTTTGCTGTTGTTGTTGTTATTTTTTAATTGCGGAGAAGAGGACAATGTTTTTGTCAGATTTTGGTATCCAGGTTATGTTAGCCTCATAAAATGAATTGGAAAGTGTTCCTTCCTCTATCTTCTGAAAGAATTTGTGTAATGCTGGCTTTTTTCTTTACTAAATATTTCATAAATTTCAACATGAAAATTATCTGAGCCTGAGATTTTCTTTATGGAAAAGTTGTTTTAATTATAAATTTAATTCATTTAATATATGCATTATATATTTATTTAATAAATGTAGTTCTATTTTAATTCTATATTTCCTTTTATGCCAATGTTGGTAAATTATTTTTTAAGGAATTTGTCTCTTTCATATAAATTGTTGACAGTATTGAAATAAGTTATTCATCATATTATCTTACTATCCTTTTAATATCTAGATCATATATAATGATGTTCCTTCTTTCAGTCATATTTATTTCTCTAGTGTTTTTCCTTAAACAGTCTTGCTAGAAGTTTATTAGCTTTATTAATATTTTCAAAGAATTCACATTTTGCTTTATTCATTTCTCTGTTGTTCATTTAATTTTTATTTCACTTGTTCTGCTTCTATCTTTGTTATTTCTTTCCTTCTACTTAACTTGGCATTTAATGTACTCTTTATCTAGTTTAAGAAGGCAGCTTAGGTCATTTATTTAAAATGTACTATCTTTTCTAATAAAAAACTATAAATTTTTCTCCAAGCACTGTCTTAGCTGCATCACGTAAGTGTTTGGATGATAAATTGTAACTATTATTGCTCAAAATATCTTCTAATTTCCCTTGCAATTTATTCTGTAACCCATTGGTTACACAGAAAATATTCTTTACTTTCCAAATACCTAAAGTATTTCTAGATTTGTTATTGCTATTGATTTCTAATTTAATTCTAGAGGACATTATCTATAAAATTTAATCTTTTAAAATGAGTTGAAACTTACTTTTATCCCATTTATATGGTGTATCTCTTTAAATAATCAATGATTATTTGAGAAGAATGTGTAATCCTGTAGTTATTAAACTAGTGTTCTATAAATTGTTAGGTCAACTTGGTTGCTAGTGTTACTGAAATCTATTGTCTCAATAATTTTTTTGCCTACTTTTTCTGCCAATTACTGAAAAAAGGTTAATACCTCCCATTATTATCGTAAATTTATCTGTTTCTTCTTTCTATTATGTAAATTTTGCCTACACATTTTGAGAATCTATTATTTGATGCATATGCATTTATGATTGTTGTGTCTTCCTAATTAATTGCACCCTTCCTCATTACGAAATATCCCCTCTTTTTCTCTTGTAAACCTCCTTGCCTCTGACAATCCTTATGCCTTAAAAGACTACTTAATCTAGCCGGGTGCGGTGGCTCACGCCCATAATCTCAACACTTTGGGAGACTGAGGCTGGCGGATCACCTGAGATCAGGAGTTCGAGACCAGCCTGGCCAACATGGTGAAACCCTGTCTCTACTAAAAATTAAAAAATTAGCCTGGCATGGTGGTGCATGCCTGTGGTCCCAGCTACTTGGGAGGCTGAGGCAGGAGAATCACTTGAACCCTGGAGAAGGGGGTTGCAGTGAGCCAAGTTCATGCCACTGCACTCCAGCCTGGGTGACAGAACAAGACTCTGTTTCAAAAAAAAAAAAAAAAAAGAAAAGAAAAGAAAAAGAAAAGACTACTTAATCTCATATCGACATAGCCACACCAGCTTCCTTGTACTTACTCTTTGCATAATATATTTTCCATACATTAACTTTCAATTTCTAATGCTTTGATATTAAGATATAGCTCTCTAAATGTGATTAAATCTTGTTTTTATCCAGTCAGAAAGTCTCTGAATTTTCATATTATTTAGTATATTTCCATTAATATAGTTACGATATGAGTGAGTTTAAATGTACCATCTTGTTTCTTGTTTTCTATTTAGCCCATCGGATATTTGTTCCTCTTTTCTTTACTTCTTTGGTGTCAATATAATATTTTTCAGTTTGCCATTCTATTTCCTTCTTAGACTTTTCTGTATACCTCTGTGTATTACTGTTTTAGTACTACTAGTCTAGTTATCGAAATGCATAACTTATCAAAGTCCACTTTGAACTAATATTGTATCACTTCACATAAAATACAGGAATCTTATAACATTATAAATAATATAATGTCCATATAGTCATCCCTCATCATGAGTATTCTTGTTGCTTATATTTTACTTCTAAATGTGTTTAAAATGTACAATAAAATGTTATTACTGTTGCATTAAACAGACCATAGTCTTTCAAAATTTCTAAGGGAAGTAGAAAGTTTCACACTTATCCACATATTTATCATTTCTAGTTCTTTTCATTTCTTGCTGTACCTCTGATTTTCCATTCAGTATCATTTCTAAAGAACTTTCTTTAGCATATCTTATAGTCCCAGTCTTCTGGCAAAGAATTCTCTCAGATTTTTTTTTACCCAAACTGCCTTTAATTTGCCTTCTTTTTTTATTTTTAATTTTTGTAAGTATATAGTAGATATATACATTTATGGGGTACATGAGATATTTTGATACAGGCATGTAATGCATAATAATCACATCAGGATAAATGGGGTATCTATCACCTCAAGCATTTATTACTTCTTTGTGTTATAAATAATCCAATTATTATATTTTAGTTATTTTTAAATGTACAATAAATTATTCTTGACTGTAGTAATTCTGTTGTGCTATCAAATAAGGGATCTTATTCATTCTAGCTAACTAAACTTTTGTGCCCATTAACCATCATCCTCTTTCTCCTTCCCCCCAACCCCCACTACCCTTCCCAGCCTCTGGTAACCATCATTCTACTCTCTATCTCCCTGAGTTCAATTGCTTTAATTTTTTTAGCTCCCACAAATAAGTGAGAATATGCAAGCTTTGTTTTTCTGTACCTTAATTTGCCTTCATTTTTGAAGAATGTTTTCTGGATGTTAAACTCTGGACTGAGTGTTTTATTTTCTTTTGGCACATTATAAGTATTTTTCAATTGTCTTGTAAGCTTCCTGGTTTCTGATGAAAGGTCAGCCATAATTTGTATATTGTCATTTCCTTGTATGCAATGCTCTTTTTTCTATTATTAAGATAGCTTTTAATTTTTATTATTAAACACTTCGACTGTAATGTACCTAGGTTTTTTTTGTATATGTTTTTCCTGGGGATTACTGATCTTCTTAAAACTGTACTTTGATTATTTCACCAAAGTGTGAAATTCTCAGCCATTATTTCTTCAAATATTTTTGTTCTATTTTCCTTTTCCTCTTATAAACTCCAATTACAAATAACTGAGACCACTTGATATTGTCCCACAAGTCACTGAGCCTCTGATCATTTATTTTCAGTCTATTTTTACTCTGTTCTTCATATTTGATTATTACAAATGATCTCTCTTCAGGTTTGCTAGCGATTTTTCCTATAATATACAATATACTGGTAATGTGAATTTCTCATTTCAGATATTGTCTTTCTGAGTTCTAGGATTTCCATGTGGTTTTTTTTTTATAGATTACCTTTTTCTGCTTAGATTCCCCATCTATTCACTCATTCTGTCTTCTTTTCCTTCAAATCTTTGAACATACTTATAATGGTTGCTTTAAAGGCAATGTTTGCTAATTCCAACATCTGGGTCATTCCAGTCTCTGCTCCTAGTGACTAATTTTTGTTACTTGATCATCAGTCATATTTTCCTGCTTGTTTGCATGTCTGGTAATTTTTAAATTTACGTTGTAGAGAGCATAGATTATGTTTTCTGCTGTATTTATTTTCAGCAAGGCAATTAAATTACTGGAAGATCTTCTTAACCTTATTAAACTGTTTATGCTTAGTGAGGACTACTCTGTTTTAGATTTTGCTTTAGTCCTAGAATATGGTTCTTTCTCTAGTGCACGCTATTTATGGCTTAGGCATGGCCTTTCTCATGCCTCCATGTAATGCCAGAGGTACCCAGAAAGGTCTTTTCACTTTTGGTGGGCCAGAAACCCACCATGTTTCAGCCTTGCATGACCTCTGATAGCTTTGCTCACCTCTCAGCCCCAGAGCAAGCCATCTTCTCTAGACTTCAGAAAGTCTTGCCCTATGTATACACACCCTGGCACTTGGGAAACAACTCAAAGTAATTTCCCAAGCTGACTTATGGGCCCTCCCTTTACACAGGGCTCTCCTCTCAAATACCTTTTGCTTTAAAATCTAGTCACTTCAGCGTCTCTAAATTTTGATCTCTGCCTTTTCATCAGCTAAACTGTGCTTGGACTCTACCTCCCACCATTGGGAAAGATGTTCTTAGCAGGAAGGTGAGGTAAATGCGGTTTGCCTTATGAATGTCCCTTCTTTCAAGGACCGTGGTTCTATGCAGCCTGTTGTTAGATGCTTGAGAACAGTTACCTCATATGCTTTTTGCCCAGGCCTACTGTTCTTTAGAAGAGACATGGTAAGTCTAATATCAGTTACTTTACCATGTCCAGAAGCAGAAGTTCTCATTTTATATTTTTAAAGGGAAGAGCCATCTAATCACTTTGCTCCTTTTGTATTTTAATCTGGCGCTGTTAGAGAGGTTGGATATGAAAAAGCAGGAAGACCTTTAAGAAGAATATTGCAGTAGTCCAGATGTCAGATAAGGATCGTGGTAGTAGAGATAGAGGAGAGACAAATCTGAGAAACACTTAGAATGTAAAACCAGCAGGAGATTAAGAAAATATAAGGGCTAGATTTGTAAGGTCAAACCTGGTGATGTCTTAAATGCTATGGCCTACCCCTTCAGTCTAAGTGTTTGTTTCCCAAGGCATTGTCTTTTAAGTAACATAAAATACTTTCTTTGGTTTAAATATAATATCAACAAACTTACCAATAATTGGTTTGCACAGTTCAATCCAAACCAGTTTGCATGTGTTTATAGCCCTCCTGTTCTTAGCCAGCATCCCAAAATTCAGAATGTCAGCATGACAATCTCAGACCTTAGAGTTTATCTTTTCATTCAAAAAGTTGATTGAGGTTTGTGTGAATAGTGAAAACCATTAATTTATTATTCTCATGTCCTATTTCAGGCTTATCTCAGGGAAGTACTACTATGAACATCCTGTGCAATGATGGGAGTGGGATAATTGTAAAACACAACATTCACTGAACACTTCTATGTGAACTGTGTTAAATGCTTTATTTAAATCATTTCATTTTACCCTTATAATAACTTGTGAAATGGGATCTATTATTATATTCCTTTTAAAGAGGAAAAGTCCTGTGGCATAGTAAGTAATTGGCATACCTGAAATACAAATTGTGGTCAGTTTGACTCCTAATATAGTTCCACAGCATCTCATTCAACCACTGTGCTAGAAATAAGAGGTTTTGGTCAGGAGAGAAACATGGGCAGAAATCCAAAACTGGTTTCTTGATTCAAAAGTTGGGTACTTTACTCATGAAAATGTCAGGCAGCATAAAATGTAAGTGGAGTAGACGCAATGAGTCAACATGGGCAGATCTGAGATGAAAGGCATTAGATTTGGCACACAGATGCTAGCACAAGGAGGACAGACACTTGTCCACATAGCCATTTTCTATCATTTTCTTCCCAGCAGGGTGGCAGTTTTGTATGGCCGTTCTTCCCAGCAGCCACGTGCTGGGGAAAGGACCTCTCTCAGTTCCAAAAAATAAATTTTGGATAGCCCAAGTCAGTCACAGTCATTCTGCCCTCCTTGCCAGTAATTAGCCATGAGTATGTGATGCAATTCTCTCTAGTGAAAAGTGAAGGAAAAAAAAACAAGTTTCCTCCAGGGTCAATGTGGAGGTATAAGAAAACCATCCTTCCTTGATAAGGAGTGACCTGTGAAGGAAGGGCCCCATTCCTCTGCCTGTGATGAGGTACATGAGCGTGTGATGCCTGGGAAGGTAAGAGCCAGCCTAGGACCATGAATAGATGAGCCAACCTGCCAATGTGGCAGAGAAGAAAGGCTGAATGGACCTGGGTCTTTGATCATTTCTTTGAGGCATGTAATGAAGAAACCTTACACTTACTTTTCATGCTATAATACCTTTCTTCATTATTTAACCACTATTAGTTAAACATTCTGTTACTTAATACTGAAAGCACCTTAACAGATACTGCAAGTTTCCTGTTGGCTCAGACCAGAGGTTGACAAATGTACTCCGTAAAATGGTCAGATAATTAAGTATTTTCTGCTTTTTATGCCATACAGATTCTGTCACAAATACCTAACTCTACCATTATAGCATGAGAGCTGCAAAAAAAAATTATGTAAATGAATGTGTATGGCCGTATTCCAATAAAACTTTATTTATAAAAACAGGAGGCTAGATTTGGCCCATGGGCTATAGACGGCCAACCCTTACTTAATAAATTCATATGAACCTAACTTAGTAAATTTAGACACAATCTCTTTGGTCAGCCCTAGGCTGAATAGACTTGGGGGTACACCTAACAGTCTCTATCACAGTACTTTTATCGAACAAATTAACCCATGAATGTCACAGAGCATTCAGGACCAACATTATTCCATATACTTACTCTGACAATAGGGTTCAGTCTTCTACTTAGTACTTCCTATTTAACAAGCATGAAGTTGTCTACATATTTTTGAAATAGTCATGGAACAATTGCCTTCCCTATATTTTTTCCAAGAGATTAGAGAGTAATCTGACACAGAAGGGATGTTAAATAAATATTTCATACATATGTAAATAATGAAGAAGTAGAGAAATAGACAAATGGGTGAATGAACAAAAAAAGTGAGGAAAGATTGAACTGATAAAAACCTTAAGATAAAGTTCTATGACTAAGCAAAAGGAAGATAATTTGTGGGGATGGAAGAGCAGAATATATTAATGAGTTAGGCAGAATAATAGCTCCCCAAATATGTTCATGTCCTAATTTTCAGAAACCATGATTTGGTTCCCTTCCATGAAAAAAGGGACTTTGCAGAAGTGATTAAGATTACAGATTTTGAGCTAGGGAGATTATCCTGGATTATTCAGGCATGCCCAAAGTAATCAAATGAGCCATTAAGCATAGAATTTCTCCCAGTTGTGGTCAAAGAGCATGATGATGAAAGAAGAGTCAAAGAGGTGGGATGTTGCTGGCTTTGAAGATGAAGGGGTCATGAGTCGAAGAAAGTGGGCAGCCTCTAGAAGCTGGAAACAGCAAGGAAAGGAACTCTGCCCTCGTGCCTCCTGAAACAAACATAGCTCTGCCAACATGTTGATTATAGCCCAGTGAGACCTGTATTGGATCTCTGACCCATAAAAATGTAAGATAATAAATTTTTGTTGTTTTAAGTCAACAAGTGTGAAGCAATTTGTTAAAGCAGCAATTGAAAACTTATACAACTAATAGACCATATCATATCTCTAATTAACAGTTTCTTAGAGATCCGCTATGTTGATTGCCATTATTCCTCCTTATTCTCTTACTACTCTTTTGCCTACCCTATTCTTCACACACATCCTGTAGCTCTATATTTCAACAATATTGTTGTCTGCTTAATAACACCAAGACTAAATTTTTTTAATCTGAACAATATAATGGTTTAATTCATAAAAACTCAATAGATAGACCAGGCATGATTTCCAAATGGTCACCATAAAGAGACCAAGGGAGAAGGTTGCTATCCTTGATCCAGTGTAATTGGTCTGCCTAGGTCTCACTTGCTCTACTAGGAAGACAACAGGTTTGGTAGCTCTGCTACTCAGAGACATTGTGGGGAGCTTTCATAAATAGTTTTCTGCCTGTGCTTCATTTCCCTGTTTAAAACTGTAAGTGAAACGAATAACTTTCATTCATCTCATCCCATCTCTCAAAGGTATTATATATCATTTAACAACTTGTAAGTATGCCACAGACAGGAATTGACAGGACAATGTCGATTTACAATAATAATATTAATAAACTTGTGAAACTGTATAGACTTAATAAACTTGTGAATCTGTGTAGATCTCAGGTTGATTCTTCCGCACTGCTGTTCTCTCTCTTCAGCTAGAATAAGCAGTCTGACATATAATGCCAAATTCATTTTCACCGAGGGCTCACTCTCCACAAGGACTTGGTCAGTTCAGAGTGACCAACTCAAAGACAGTGGGTCCCTGCCCTCCACTTTCATGCCTGTCTGCTCTGGGTGGCCAGGCTAGAACAGGATGAGCATTTCTACACATATAATGAAGGTATGGCCTTCATAGTGTTCCTCATCTTAGCCATCTGTGCCACATCCACTGCTGCATGTATTTGAGTATTCTCCCACATCATTCCCCATTACATGAAGCTGGCTTCACTCAGTGCTGTGCAGAAGATAGGTCGTTAGCCTCAGCTAAGTCCCCACTTCTCCAAAGCAGTGGAATTCCCAAATAACCTCACTTCATATGCTGCTTGTTCAACTCTCTTATCCTTCCACCATGTTATTTTGCTGTAAGATGCCTGACAATCCAAAGAAAAATAAAATAATTTTTATTGATGTATAACATACATCAGGCCCATATTCATGACATGTGGAATGAGCTAGTGGCTAACTTGCACTGCTTATACTAAACACTCTCTAAGGTAACATTTGAACTCTGGTCTTTTCCCAAGCGTTTGTCAAATAATAAATAAAATATAAATTCATGATATTACCAAATATTAACCCATAATTCTCCAGCTTCCAGGGGATCCCCAGGCTTCAATCACCTATTTCAGTACCAATTTCCAGACTATTCCCAAAATACAAAAACAGCAATACAAAAACACTATTCAAATATTTTAAGAAGTCACCTTAAGGAAAATAACAGGTTCCTGGCTCGTCCAGGAAAGATGGTACTTGACATTTGTTAGTTTTCTGGACTAAGCTTTGGTTTTAGGTTGGGGGATTCTAGGGAGGCCTAGACAATAGGTTCTAGAGCCTGGTTCTAGAGCCTCCAGTCTGCAGGTTCTCACAGATTGGTCAGGGAAAGCTCCAGAAGTTCCTTTCTTGTGGACTATCATCAAGGTCACCTAAATGAAAAGGGAGATATTTTTTCACAGATTGCGCAGGCTAATTCCACATAGAAGATGGAGACTCAGAGCACTGTTATGCTCATATAAGGTTAAAGGAAACAAGGAGAGTCATAGACTAGATTCTACTTACTGAATTGTTGCAAAGTTGAAATTCTGTGGCTCACGATGTCCCTCTTATTTATTTATTTATATTTTTTGAGACAGGGCCTCACTCTGTCACCCAGGCTGGAGTGCAGTGACACAATCATGGCTCACTGAAGCCTTGACCTCCCAGGCTCAAGCCATCCTCTTGCCTCAGCCCCCCAAGTAGTTGGGACCACAGGCACATGCCACCACGCCCATCTAATTTTTATTTCTTTTTTGTAGAGACAGAGTCTCACTATGTTGCCCTGGCTGGTTTCAAATTCCTGGGCTCAAGCAGGCCAGCCAGGATACCTCTTTTGATGCATGAATTAAAAACAAAAGCAAAACGTGTTCTCAATACCAATATCTTATAGAAAAATGTCATGAAAAAGATGCAAGCTGCCATGTTAATACAGAAAACTAAATCACCCTTACCCTCATGTAATGCTTGGCTGCCTAAATCCTAATTTTAAAAAACTGACTAAAATAACAGCAACATCAGTTACATGCTATGAAATGAACATTCTAGTCAATTCACAAATGTTAATGTGTACATTGGCAGTGATTTTGATTCACCCAAAGAACAGTTTCAAAGGAGCCTATGTCTCAAAGACTGAGTTTGACGTTCAATAAACTTTCCTATCTCAGTTTTCCTAACAATGAAAATCTAGGTTTAAATCATATAGAATTCCATAAAATGGCCTAGACTATTTTGGAGGCAGGTATGGTTAAAATGTATTATATTTGTGCTGAATTTATCAAACTCTCTTCAAATGTTCTTTTTCCTTGGTAGTGGGCTAATCCTATATTTCCCTCTACAATTAATGATAGTTTCGATTGCTAGTGTTACAGGATTTTTTTGGTGCCAGTTTGCCAGCAAGAAATCTTTGCGCCTGCCATATCCTCTGCCTAAGGCCTTGCTCGGGCCTGCTACGCTTGCTCTGCCCACTCGGCCCAGCAGGCTGCACTCAGCCCGTGTCCCAGCCCAGATCCCGCGGCAGAAAAGGGACTCTGCTTAGCCCACAGATGGACCAGGTGTGTCACGAGTAAATTTTGTGTTGGGCACCAGTGTCTAGACAAGGGGAACGTGGTGGCGCTTGAAACCTCAGAGATGGCGGCAACCGCAGAGCCCCAAGGGGTGTCACAGCTCTCACCCAGGGAGTGGTGAGGTCTCAGCCCCCAAGAAATGTTGCAGTTTTTGTAGTTCTGCAAGACAGCCAGGAGGGAATGGCGCCCAGTGGCTTCACTTCTTCACACCCACAGCTAGGCCAACAGGGGCGTGTTATAGCTTTCTTCGCTCCCACCGCCCGTACCGTGGTAAACTGGGGGCCTGTTACAGCTCCCTTCGCACCTGCTGCCCACAGCTCAGAAAAAGGGGGCGTGTTACAGCTCGTTTGTTCTCACCACCCACAGCTCAGCGAGTTCCAGGTTCTTGTACCACGACCAAGAGGAATAAAGTACATAGACACTGGAGAGTAAGGCAGAGAAGAATTTTACTGAGTGACAGAAGGAAAGCTCTCAATAGTGAGAGGGGACCCTGAAAGCGGGTTGCCCTCAGCTGTGAGAAGCGGCCTGAAGGCAGGTAGGCCTCTGTGAGGCTGAGTCCAGAGTTTCTGTTGGCTCAGAATGGGGGAGTGCGTGCTGATTGGTCCATGGGTAGGCTTTGGAAAAAGCACCATTCAATTGGTTAAAAGCCATCATCCAGAAGGAACCAACTGAGAGAGAGAGAGAGAGGGTAAGTCTCACTCCAGCTGTGGGCTCTATCCAGAACCACAGCTCAGTTTTCAGGCTTTAAACTATCTTTGGGTTGAAGGTTGGATTTCACTGGGGACCCATCCCTGTCTGCCTAGAGATATGTCTGCCTCTCGTAGCTAAAACTGGCACAGTCAAATTTAACCTGGTTTTAAAAAATTAATATATGCTCTGACATAAGACTAACCCTGAATATAAGATCATCCTTGATATTTCTGATAAAAATCCTGAAGTCATTTTTGGACAAATTGAATATATATAAAGATCTTAGGAGTGTAGATAAAATTGTCAAATGTCTACTTACAGTGTTTTGTTGATTTAGTTATACTTTCATATTAAAGTTGACTATATTAAATATATTACTGGGGAATATTGCTGTATCCACTCACATATTTTACAAAATAATTTCATTCATACTTTTCACATACGTGTTTAACATCATTATATTGATTTTCACCAAGGCCACTGAGTCATCTGACACAGCTTTCCAGGGTGCTCTCTCCATTCGCATCTGCCTGAGTTCTTTGAGATACTGCCCTATGTCAACCCACATATAATGCTGACACTTGCTATTTTATCTCAAGCACCGATTCACACAACGTTAAAGCTGATAATTTTTTTTTATGTAGTTGTATACTCTTGATTCTTGATTTCTACAACTGAAGTGCTGTGCTACGATTTTTGTGTTTTGTTTTTTTGAGTCTCGCTTTGTCACCCAGGCTGGAGTGCAGTGGCGTGTTCTCGGCTCACTGCAACCTCCGCCTCCTGGGTTCAAGCAATTCTCCTGCCTCAGTCTCCTGACTAGCTGGGATTACAGGCGTGCGCCACCACGCCTGGCTAATTTTTGTATTTTTAGTGGAGACAGGGTTTCACCATGTTGGTCAGGCTGGTCTGGATCTACTGACCTCGTGATCCACCTGCCTGGGCCTCCCAAAGTGCTGGGATTACAGGCGTGAGCCACCGCGCCCGGCCAGTGCTGTGTTTATTTAATGACATCAAACACTTGCAATTTTAAAGTCACGTTTCATGAAACCATTACTAAATCCGTGTTAAATTTCTTTGTCTCATTTTGGAACAATTGACTAAGGCACTCTCGGGCTAATGTGTCTTATGCTAATAACCATTCGTATAAAAAAAAATAACAGAAAACACCACAGAAGATGAGATACTTTGCAAGGAATTGATTATAAAGAGTGTGTGTGTGTGTGTGTGTGTGTGTGTGTGTTTAAAAATCTCACCCTTATCTGTGTATATAGTAACATCATTTTTTCAAAACTAAGTTATAGTTCTTTAGTATATTCAGTTTTTCTTATATCCTGCTTATTAGTATGGCATAAATAGCAAACCAGAATTTTTATCAGTGACTAAATACAGGTGAATAAAAAAAATACTGCATTCAGCTCTGGATTCAGCTTGTTAACCAGTGAAGAGGGCTAATGAAAACCACAGGTAATCCTCAAACCTCATTTCGGCCATTAGTTTCAATCTTGTCCCCTGCTCCTTCTTTTACCAGAATTGCTGACAAGGAGTAAAGTGGGGCTGACTAGGATTTCTCATCCCACACACCTCTGGCAGAGGTGCTAATGAACAGCAGAATGGCCACAAGGCAGCATACCCAACGTAGCGAAGAGGCAAGGGAGTGAGGTAATCCTCCAGCTGAATATAAACCACTGATAATGCCAGCTTAATCTCCACTTCTGTCACCTATCCAGAGGCAGCAGTCTTACCCTTTTACTCAAAAATACTAAATAATTAGAAAGACTTGGCATAAATGATACAATTCAGCCATTTTGTACTCAATAATAATTATTTACCTTAAAAGATTTCATTTAAAATGAGTGTTTTAACAGAACATATAGCAAGGTGCAGAGTGATTTCTCATTCATATTACCAATTAATAACAGAAGAATTCTCTGAAAACCGAAAACATTTTGTTCCTGCTAAAATCGTCTGTTGGTTTAACCAAGCTGGCACAGACTGAGCTCGCATTATGCTTATTAGAAGGATATGTTGCAGCCAAGCTGTGTTTATTAAATATATACAGTGCCTACATTACCGGGATTTATAACACACATCAACAGTTAAAAATTAAAGACTGTAACATATCCATTTATATTATAGTGCTTCAACAAAAGTCAGCATAATTGTGAAATTTATTAAGCATCTGCAAAAATATCGATGGACTATAAAGCTTGACTTTTCTTATTTCAGGATAAACCCAAGCTCCATAAAATTCCATTCGTTTTCCTATTTAAGTATTTTTAACCCCAAAGTTAAGTGTCCTCTGACAAAGTATCCAAGCCGTTACAAACCCTCATATGCCCTGAAATGTTTTCTTTCCATGACCGTAAGCTTGTTGAGAATATAGACAAAAATGCCAGGACCATGTAAGCCCCCAAAACAACATCATTCAGTGAGCTCATGGAAAATCAAAAGTGAAACTCATTAGAGACAGGCAAAGTATAAAAGAAACGAACCAAATTTAGCTTCATTACTCAAGCTGAGTGAAATGCAAAACACAAACAATGTAAGGAGGTACAGGTCCTTTGTATTTTAGCAATTCTTAAATTTTTTATGATTCTGGGTTTTTGTGGTTGCTTGGGAAAAATGTTTTAATGTAAGATTCATCTTGACAAGAAGGCCTATAACAATGGTACTGCTTAGAATAGCCCAATTAAAATGTTCACATTTGGTAACTTTGCATTATATAAAAAGTACACAATGGAATATGGATCATTATCACTTTTCTTTCCTGGAATCAAAATACTGAATGTTGCATGGCACCAAAATTGCCCCTCCCACCCCTGAAAAAGCCCCAAACCAAGTCTGAATATCAACCAAGTTAATTAAGTCCATATGGGGAGACAGGCGTCCTGGGGACTTTTTACTTCTTAAGAGAAAATACATTGATTGTAACCCACATATGTCAGCTTCTCTTATCTGTATCTTTGCCCAACTATTTTTAACTATATAATTATTTATTTTTATTGTCATCCCTCCCTCAAGATCGTACGTAGCATAAGTGTAAGGACTACATCTGGTTGTCATTTTTTAAAACTATTATAGGTCCAAATGCCTAGGGCAAAAATAAGGCAAAAAAATAGACTAGACATTGCTGAACTAGTTCTGGTTTATCTAAAAACTTGCATCAGTTCCTCACATCTCTTGGCCACTAAGGAACCAGCTGGTAGGCTGATTCTCAGCCTCCTCTTCCCCAGCAATGACATCACTTGTGAAATTCCATTTAGGCTCCAGCACTTCCTTCTCTTACCATATACCCCTGAATTCCTAGATTCTAGACTAAACCGAGAGGTTTTCAGCGTGAAAGTGAGACCTGATGAGTAGAAGGCTATTTAAAAGAGTCAGCATTTTCTCATGTAAGTCATGCAAAGTGTCAGATTTCAAGGATGGAGGTGGCTTCTGAGGTAGCTGCCCTCCTAAATTGGTCATTGGGCATCATTTTACCATGGCCACTGGTTTCCTACCATTAACCTTCCTGTTACCACATAAGAAATCATTGTGGGGTAAATCAATTTCACTGTCTCATTGCACAAATAAGTAACTCAAGTCAGTGAGAAATCTATAGGACTTTCTTCACAACACTAAAGACCACCCTTGACATTCATGACCCATGAGCATCTGGTTACCATTTAAATCACAGAGAACAACCCTAGAAAATCTGAGCCATTGCTCTTACTCCTGCATACAAATATCCTCCAACTCAGGGGTCCTCAACCTCCAGGCCATGGACCAGTATCAGTTGTGGGCTGTTAGTAACTGGGCTGCATGGCTGGAGGTGAACGGCAGGAAAGTAAGCCAAGTTTCATCTATATTTACAGCCACTCCCCATTGCTTGTATTACCACCTGAGCTCTGCCTCCTGTCAGATTAATGGCAGCATTAGATTGTCATAGGAACCCAAACCCTATTATGAACTGTGTTTGGGACCTAGGTTGTGCGCTCCTTATGAGAATCTAATTTGTGTCTGGAAGACAGTGATGATTTGTCACTGTCTCCCATCACCCCAAGATGGGACTGTCTAGCTGCAGGAAAACAAACTCAGGGCTCCCACTGATTCTACATTATGGTGAGTTGTATAATTATTTCATTGTATATTACAATGTAATAATGGAAATAAAATACATGATAAATGTAATGCATTTGAATCATCCTGAAACGATCCCCCCACACTGGTCTACAGAAAAATATTCTTGCACAAAACCGGTCCCTGGTGCCAAAAAGGTTGGGGACCGCTGTTCCAACTCAAGGAACCCACAAAACTTCATGGAGATGCCAAAGATACAGGGCAATAGTTAAAAAAAAAAAGTTATTTTGATCTGTTTTGAACAGAAAATTGTACTTAACAGGGGGTTATGATTGTGAAGAATGCTGTATGCCTGACAGCTCCTAGCATATTGTGGGAACGGAGTAAAGTCTTCAACCATGACTTCTGTTCCTTTGTAGTCCCCAGAACCTATCGCAAATCCAGACACAACTCTGATTGGTGATAAACAGGATTCCAAGAAAGAACAAAAGTTGAAATGAAATGTCTTTGGAAACTGCATCTAAATCTTTTCTCAATTTTCTGACTAAATTTGCATATTTTTATCAGATAGATGTGAATAATGCAACAAACATATTGTAATTATGATTTTTAAAAATGTCTTGTATGTCATCTTAAAACTCACAGAGTTCAAGGCTTACCAACCTAAAAATGTTGTCTGGGGAAAAAAAACTAAATGATATGGGTAAAAGTCCTCTCAAAATTTGATTTTGTTACCCTTTAAAACTCTCTCACATCCTCTTAAAAAATATTAACTAATACTTGAAACCACGGATGTGTGCTCTAACTGCCACCCTATAGGCTGCCTTCAAGTTAGATAGCATGCTTTAAGGATGATGCAACCATTGGATTTTGACTCCACTTAAGGGGTCAGTCTCAGACTGGAAACTGTTTTCCCTTTGGGAGAGAGGCTCCAACATGCCTCTTGCTTTGTACAGACTTCATTGTAATCTGCTTCAAGGAGCCACATCGTCTGGCAAAAGTTGAAGGAAATGTCTGTGTCTGACTTGACTTATTATCATCATGCCTCCGGTAGGAGTGTTAAAAAAGTACACTCCCTGAAATTTGGGTTGTGGTTATACTTGGGTCACTGCCTGCTGATAAAATGCCATCAGTGTTTGTTTCCTCCTTAGTTCTAACCTGAAAGGGTGTCATCTAAGATGGTTTGGGGTGGGGGTGGGGGTGAAATAACATACACGAAGGGAAAACTGCTGCATAAAACCAATTCTGGCCCTGCAGGAACACATTGAACTGAATATCAAATTACATGGTTGGAGGCACTGGGGACTAACCCTCTTTGAGGTCCTCAGCTTCCAATCAATTAGAATAAAAGGTGCCAAATTAACACAAGTCAGACCAAAGCAGATTGCAAGATAAGCATGGAAGTTTGGGGGGATATAAATAGGATGTATGTATATTGTTAATTTTAATGGTAAAAGAAGAGAGGGGAAAATAAACATTGATATCAAACGAAGCTTTTACCTTTGAGAGATACTTATTTGCCAGTTTGCCAAGATATTTGAAGAAGTATCTATATATTTGTTAAATAAAACATTCATAAATTTAAAACATGGGATTTCCTTGTTGTTTATTCAAAGGAATGGCTTGAATCTGCCAGGCCTGCCATAACAATACACCACAGACCAGGTGGCTTAAATTAAAGAAATTTATTTTCCCACAGTGCTGGAGGCTGGAAGTCTAAGATAAAGGTGTTAGCAGGTTTGGTTTCTTCTGTAGCTTCTCTCTTTGGCCTTGTCACTGTATCCTCACATCCCCTTTCTCTGTGTCCCTGGTGTCTCTTCTTCTTCTTATAAGGATTTAGTCATACTGAGTTAGGGCTGCATTTTAATGGCTTCATTTTAACTTAATCACCTCTAAAGATATTATCTTCAAGTGCATTGTGAGGTACTGGGAGTTGGACCTTCATCATATGAATTTGGGAATGGAGACACAATTTAGTCCATAACACTAATGATTGGGATAAAGTATAAATTCCAACTTTAAAGTGAGATCCTCTGCCATAGTTACCTAGGAAACTAAATGGATCCGTTTTTAACAGTCACTCAGCAAATACTTATTAAGCACTTACTGTTCAAAAGTCATCCCTTTGTGGTTCTATGCTAGATATAAAATGAGTAACAAACAGTCCCTGTCATCTAAGTGTAGCTAAGAGACACCTATCCAAACACATGTAATTCTTTGACTAGTTTAGTGGGCCTCTCTAGGTCATAAATGCTGCCCATTCATTAAGAAGAACGAAGAGCTTTTCCAAGTAAAAACTTTGTACTTTGTAATTAACAAAGGAAAAAACACTCTTTTAGGGAACTTTGCCTTATTTCACCATTTTGCTGAGATTTGAGCATTCATTTCTTCATGTATGTGTTCTTTCTGTTCAACATTCAGGACATAAATGCTATTTTCCAGACACTAGACTTCTTAATGATGCCAATGTCATATATAATAATCAGAAAATATCAAACCAGTTGTAAAAAAGATAATGTTGATAGTCACTGTTTTTATATGTCCTGGTAATGTTACTCATTTGTTACAATGGATGAACCAACAATGACACATCATCACACAAGTCCATAGTTTACATTATTAGGTTTCGCTCTTGATATTGTACAATGTATGTATTTTTGCAAATGTATAATGACAGGTATCCACCATTATAGTATCATACAAACTAATGTTATGTCCTAAAAATCCTCTATGCTCTGCTCATTCATTTTTCCATCCCCTCCTAAACTGTAGCAAACACTGATCCTTTCTTATTGTCTCCTCTCAGATTTACCTTTTCCCGAGTGTCATATAGTTGAAATTTTGCAGCACGTGGCCTTTTTAGATCGGCTTTTTTCACTGAGTAATGTGCATTTAAGGTTCTTCCATGTATCTTTATGGCTTGATAGATCATTTCTTTTTAGTGCTGAATAATATTCCACTCTGGATGTACCACAGTTCATTTATCCATTCACTTTCTGAAGAACATCTTGGTTGCTTCCAAATTTTAGCCAATACGAACAAAATTGCTATAAATGTTTGAGTGCAGATTTTTGTATGGACATGAGTATTCAACTCATTTGGGAACATTCCAAGGAGTGTGATTGCTGTATTGTATGGTAAGAGTATGTTTAATTTTATAAGAAACTGCTTAACTGCCTTTTAAGGTGGCTGTACATTTTGCATTCCCACCAGCATTGAAGAAGAGTTCCCATCACTCTACGTCCTCACCAACATTTGCTGTTGTTAGTGTGAACAACAATATTAGAATATATGGCCATTCTAATAAATGTGAATCTCATTGTTGAAATATCTCAACAATGTCCATTCTGATAAGTGGTATCTCATTGTGGTTTTAATTTGTAATTCCCCGATGATGTGTGAAGTTGAACACTTTTTCATATGCTTATTTGCCATTAATATACCTTCTTTGGTGAGTGTGATGGTTAATATTTAGTGTCAACTTCATTGGATTGAAGGATGCAAAGTATTGATCCTGGGTATGTCTGTGAGGGTGTTGCCAAAGGAGATTAATATTTGAGTCAGTGGGCGAATAAAGGCAGACCCACCCTTAATCTGGGTGGGTACCATCTAATCAGCTGCTAGCATGGCTAGAATATAAAGCAGGCAGAAAAACATGAAAAGCCTAGACTGGCCTAGCCTGCCAGCCTACCTCTTTCTCCCCTGCTGGGTGCTTCCTGCCCTCAAACATCAGACTCCAAATTCTTCAGTTTGGGAACTTGAACTGGCTGTCCTTGCTCCTCAGCTTGCAGACGGCCTATTGTGGGACCTTGTGATCCTATGAGTTAATACTCAGACAGGTGACTGTCTGTTAAGGTCTTTGGCTTTTTTGTTTTTTTTGAGACAGAGTTTCGCTCTGTCCCCCAGGCTGGAGTGCAGTGGCATGATCTTGGCTCACTGCAACTTCCACCTCCCAGGTTCAAGTGATTCTCCTGCCTCAGCCTCCCTAGTAACTGGGACTACAGGCACGTACTGCCACAGCTGGGTAATTTTTTATATTTTTAGTAGGGACAGGGTTTTGCCATGTTAGCCAGGCTGGTCTCAAACTCCTGACTTCAGGTGATCTGCCCACCTTGGCCTCCCAAAGTGCTGGGATTACAGGTGTGAGCCACCGCACCCAGGCTTTGGCCCATTTTTAAAATCAGGTTGTTTACTTGTTGTTGAGTTTTGAGAGTTCTTTGTATATTTTGTATAAGAGTCCTTTATCAAATGTGTGTTTTGCAAATAATGTTTCCCAGTCTGTGGCTTTTCTTCTTAATCCTCTTGATACTGTCTTTCACAGAACAGATTTTTTTTTATTTTAATGAGTCCAGCTTATCAATTATTACTTTCATAGATCATCCTTTTGGTGATCTATCTAAAAAGTCATCAGTATACCCAAAGTTATCTAGGTTTTTTCTTCTGAGTTGTCTTCTAGGAGTTTTATAGTTTTGCATTTTACATTTATATCCATGATCCATTCTGAGTTAATTTTTGTGGGATATAACGTCTTTGTCTAGAATTATTTATTTATTTATTTATTTATTTATTTATTTATTTATTTATTTTTGCATGTGAAAGTCCTGTTGTTCCAGCACCATTTTTTGAAAAAGCTATCTTTTCTCTGTTAAACTGCCTTTGCTCTGTCAAAGAACTGTCAAAGATTAGTTGACTATATTTGTGTGGGCCTATTTCTGGGTTCTTTATTCTCTTCCACTGATAAATGTGTCTTCTCTTTTATCAAAACCATATTCCTTTGATTATCATAGCTTTATGGTACATCTTGAGGTCCTGCTAAGTCGATCTTCCAACTTTGTTCTTCCTCTTTAGTATTATGTTGACTATTCTCCATCTTTTGCCTTTCCATGTAAACTTTAGAATCACCTCATTAATATCCACGAAATATCTTGCTGCAATTTATACTGGGATTGCATTAAGTCTATAAATCAAGTTAGAAAGAACTGGCATATTGATAATATTGTGTCTTCCTAATCATGAACATGGAATATTTCTCCATTTATATAGTTCTTCTCTTGTTTATCAGAGTGTTGTAGCTTTCCTCATATAGATCTTGTACATATTTTGTTAGATTTATACCTAAGCATTTTATTTTTTTGGATGCTAATGTAAATGATATTGTGTTTTTAATTTCACATTCCACTTGCTGATATGTGGGAAAGTGACTGACTTTTGTATATTGACCTTGAATCCTGCAACCTTGCTATAATTGCTTATTAATCCCAGGTGGGGTTTTTTAAATCAGTTCTTCCAGATTTTCTACATAGATTATCACGTCATCTTCAAACAAAGACAGCTTTATTTCTTCCTTCGTAATTTGTATACCTTTCATTTCTTTTTCTCATCTTATTGCACTAGCTAGAATTTCTAGTATAATGTTGAAAAGGAATGATGAGAGGAGACATCCTTGACTTATATCTGATCTTAGTGGGAAATCTTCCAGTTTCTCACTAATGAAATATAATGTTAGCTTTCTTTGGATATTCCTTATCAAGTTGAGGAAGTTTTCCCTTATTCCTAGTTTGCTGATGATTTTTATTATGAATGAATTTTGGAACCTATCAAATGCTTTTTCTGCATCTATTGATACAATCATGTTATCTTTGTTTTTTAGCCTTTCATTTTTAGCCTGTTGATTTGATTGACTACATTAAGTGATTTCAAAATTCTGAACCAGCCTTGCATACTTGGGATAAATCCCACTTGGTTACAGTGTATAATTATTTTTATATATTGTTTGATTTAATTTATTAATATTTTAGGATTTTTGCATTTATATTCATGAGAGATATAAGTCTGTAGTTTTCTTTTCTTGTGATATCTTTTCCTGGTTTTGGTATCAGGGTAATTCAGACCTCATAGAATGAGTTAGGAAGTATTCGCTCTGCAACTATATTCTATCAAAGAGATGTAGAGAATTGGTATAAGTTTTTCTTTAAATGTTTCATAGAACTTATTAATAAATCCATCTGGGTCTGGTGTTTTCTGTTTTCAAAGGTTACTATTGTTGATTCAGTTTCCTTAACAGATATAGGTAGTCCTATTCAAACTGTTTATTTCTTCTTGTATTTTGGCAGAGTGTATCTTTCAAGAAATTGGTTTTCTTTATCTAGGTTACTGAATTTGTAAACATAGAGTTGTTTATATTTCAATATGATTCTTTAAAGTTCCATGGGATCTGTAGTGATGTTTCTTCTTTCATTTCTGATACTAGAAATCTATGTCTTCTTTCTTTTATCTTTAGTAAGTCTGGCTAGAGGCTTATCAATTTTGTTGATGTTTTCAAAGAACCAGGTTTGGTTTTGTTGATTTTCTTCATTGAGAGAATCAATAATTTCTATTTTCAATTTCTTTTATTTTTTTTGCTCTTATTTTTATTATTTCTTTTTTTCTGCTTACTTTGGATTTAATTTGATTTTCTAGTATTTTAAGGTGAAAGTTTAGATTATTGATTTCATATCTTTCTTCTAATATATTCATTCAATACTATACATTTTTCTGTAAGCACTGCTTTCATTGCACGCCACAAATTTTTATAAGCTGTATTTTATTTTCATTTATTTTAAAATATTTTATCTTGAGATTTCTTCTTAGAACCATGTGTCATTTAGAAGTGTGCTGTTTAATATACAAATGTTTTGGAACTTGCCAGATATCTTTCTATTATTGATTTCTAGTTTAATTCCATTATGGTCGGAGAGCAGACATTTTATAATTTCTACTTTTTTAAGTTTGGTAAGTTGTGTTTTGTGGCTCAGAATATGCTCTATCTTATCAAATGTTCCACGTGAGCTTGAGAAGAATGTGCATTCTGATGTTGTTAGATGAAGTAGTTTATAGATGTCAATTATTTCTAGTTGATTGATTGTGCTGTTGAGTTTAATTTTGCCCTTACTGATTTTTCTCCTTGCTAGACCTGTCCATTTCTGTTACAGAGTTGTTGAAGTCTCCAACTTTAATAGTGCATTCATCTATTCCTTCTTGTAGTTCTATCTGTTTTTGCCTCATGTATATTGATGCTCTGTTGTTAGGTACATACGCCTTAAAGAATGTTATGTCTCTCTGGAGAATTTGCTCTTTTATGATTACATAATGCCCTTCCTTATCCCTGCTAACTTTATATGTTCTGTCTGAAGTTAATATAGCTACTTCTGCTTTATTTTTTTAGTTGTTAGCATGGTATTTCTTTCTCTATTTCTTTACTTCTAAGTTATATGTGTCTTTATACTTACAGTTGGTTTCCTTTAGATAATATATAGTTGTGTCATGTTTTGTCAGCCACTCTGGTAATCTCTTTTATAATATTTAGACCACTGATGTTGAGTAATTTGATAAATTTGGATTCATATTTACCATATATGTTACTGTTTTCTATTTATTGCTCTTGTTCTTTGTTCCTATTTTTTCTTCTACTTTCTTTCCACCCTTTGTGGTTTTAATTGAGCATTTTATATGATTCAATTTTTTTTCATTTCTTAGCTTACTAGTTATACTTCCTTTTTATTTTTTCTTAGTGGTAGTCCTAGAGTTTGCAATATGCAATTACAGCTAAAGCAAGTTCATTTTTAAATAACTCTATACCACTTCACTGATAGTGCAAGTATCTTACAATCACAAAATATTCCTAATTCTTTTTTATTCCTTCTATCACTTAGCTTTCATTTCTTCCTTATACAAATATACATAGCATTGGTATATCTACAAAGCATACATAATCTAATATTGTGTTGCCATTATTATTTTGAACAAACTGTATCCTGTTAGGTCAATTAAGAAGAAAAAAATTATAGTATATATTTTAACTTCACTCATTCTTACTCTGATGCTCTTCCTTTCTTTATGTAGATCTGAATTTCTGACCTATAACATTTTTCTTCCCTCTGAAGAACTTCTTTTAACATTTCTTACAAAGCACGTCCACTAGCAACAAATTTCCTCAGTTTTCATTTGTCCCAGAAAGTCTTTACTTTTCTTTCACTTTTGAAGGATAACTTTGCAGCGTACAGAATTTAAGGCTTACATTGCCCATCTGTTCTTGCATACTGTCTACTTTATCCCTTAGAGCCTCTAGCATATTAATCAGGGCTGTTTTAAATTTCTAATCTAATAATTTCAACACTTCTACCATATCTGAGTCTGGGTCTGATGATTTCTCTGTCTCCTCAAACTGTGTTTTTTGCCTTTTAGTATGTCTTGAAATTTTTCTTTCGAAAGCTAGACATGATGTACTAGGCAAAAGGAACTATCGCATTGAAATGCCAGCTGGCCCAAACAATAACAATAATAATAACAACAACAACAACAGCCAGCTCTCTCTATTTAAAGGACCAGGAAAGAGGCAGCCTAGCAAGATGTAAGGCTTTTAGACAAATATATACTCCAGGCAAATACCACAGAAAAAACTTATTCTTACCCATATCTATACCAGCAAAAGCTGATTGGAAGTCTATTCTTCCACCCTTGCCAGCCTGCCAGGATGGTGTCAGAAAGGCCATGTAGAAAGCAGAGTTTCATCCCCACTGAGTGGTGAGAAGATTTTCTCAATGGATATCATATGAAGAGTCAGAACTTCACCATGTCACCCCTCAATTTGGCAGTAAAGAAGTACCTGTCCCCTCTCAGCAGGGTAGTGTCAGAAGAAGCCTACTGGAGAGTCAGGACTTTCACCACCACTCAATTGCCACAGGCCACCCCCATGGTGTCAATAGAGGATGAGTGGGGAGCTGGAAACCCCGCTTCCACCCGGCAATAATGAGGTTCCCTCCCCTCCCCGACTTGAGTGTCAACAGATGCTGAGGGGGAACTGAAAGAAAAAAATAGATTAACCCACAATTATAGTTAGAAACTTCTCTACTCTTTTCTCAACAACTGATAGAGCAACTAGACAGAAAATCAGCAAAGATATAAAAGAACTCAATGAAAGCATCAATCAAAAGGATTTAATTGACTTTAATAGAACATGCTACCTAATAACAGCAAGATGTACATTATTTTTATACATATCCAAGATAGACTATATGCTGGGCCATAAAACCTCAACAAATTTAAAATAATCGAAGTCATGCAAAGTGTATTCTGCTTCCACCCACCAAGTCTTACATTAGCCCATTTGCACACTGCTATAAAGAATTACCTGAGACTGGGTAATTTATAAAGAAAACAGGTTTAATTGATTTACAGTTCCACATGGCTTGGAAGGCCTCAGGAAACTTACAATCATGGCAGAAGGCAAAGGGAAAGCAAGGCACGTTTTACATGGCAGCAGGAGACAATGAAAGGGAAGAGCCATGCACTTATCAAAAAACCAGATCTTGTGAGAATTCTGTCATGAGAACAGCAAGGCAGAAGTCCGTCCCCATGATTCAATCACCTCCCACAAGGCCACTCTGCCAACACATGGGGATTACAATTTGAGATGGGATGTGGGTGGGGACACAGAACCAAACTATGTCAAGTCTTTTCCATAGGCCTTCACCAAGTGTCCCCAGAAATACTGGAAGCAAGGCAGGAGAGCTGCAAATGGTCCCTCATATACACATACACACAGAGCCAGGCACAGGCATTGAATGCCTGGTAGTCTGAGGATGGAGAGGAGAAGGGAAGAAACTCTTCTGGCACTCTGTCTTACAGTGAGTGCAACCAGTGGGCTCCTATTGTTGGAAGTAGGTAAAAGAGCTCAAGGAGTTTCCCCATATTAAGTATAGGTGTGTGGGACCTGCTGAGTGAAGAATGAAGGCAATGCAAGAGAACTGAGAAAATGACTCCAGACACACAACTCCAAAGCCCTCGGAAAGGGAATGCATTAAACCTACCCTTAATCATTTGAAGACTCTGCTGAATTAAATCTTGCTAGAGTAACAATATGGCCCAAACCTGGCTCAATTCAAAATAGTTTGACTCAGTGCCCACACTAGCAGTGTGACAGAAGAAGGGAAAAACACTCCTCTTGGCACAAATATTATTTATGTAGGTCTCTACATTTATCTTACACAGAATATACAGCATTCCGTCAAAACTATACGACATGCAAAGAAACAAGACCCATCATTTAAAAAAAGAAAGAGTCAAAAGAACCAGATTCACATATGATCCAAATGTCAGAATAATCAGAAAATTTTTTAAAAAGAATAGTCACAATAAGACATTAAAGGATCTAGCAGTGAAAGATACAGATGAGCAAATGGAAAATGTCATTAGTGCAATGGAAACTGTATAAAAGATCCAAGTGGAAATTCTAGAACTAAAACAGATAATAACAAAGTCCATCAGAATTCTTTCCATACACTTATCAGCAGACCAGACACAGAGGAAGAAAACACCAGTGAACTTAAAGACATGCCAATAAAATTATCCAAACTGTAATGCAAAGAGAAAAAATCTGTGAAAAAATACAGCATCTAAAAATCTGAGGAGCAATATCAAATGGTTTAACAAAAACATAATTGGAGTTCCAAATAAATAAGAGAGAAAATGGAGCAAAAAAATTGATGAATAATGATTGAGAATTTTGCTAAATTGATAAACACATTTATCTGCAGTTCCAAGAAGCTCATTAAGCCCCAAGCAGGATAAATACAAAGAAAACCACACCAATATGCATCATAGTCAAAGTGCTAAAAGTCAAATATAATCTTGAAAGCAGCCTGAAGAAAAAAGTCACACTTTATACTCAAGTGAACAACAATCAGAATGAAGTAAGACTATTCATCAGAAACAGTGGAGAACAGAAGAAAATGAACTAACATTTTCAAATTCTAATAGAAAAAACTGTCAACCTAGATACTAAATCCAGTGAAAATATTCTTTATGAAGGAAGAAAAAATAAAGAAATTGTCAGACGACGAAGGCTGAAAAAATGTGTCTCTATCTGACCTGTACCACAAGAAATGCTAAATGAAGTTATTTAGTCTGAAAGGAAATACCAAAGTAAAATTTGTTTTGCAGGAGGGAACGAAGAACATCAAGCGAGAAATATATGTTGACAAATATAAAGGATTTTTCAAAAATTATTCTGATGTTATGTATATATGTATAATTTACACATACAAATATACACATAGAAAATTTTTAAATGTTTTAAATCCTATAAAATTATTTTAATTACATATAAAATGTATTTTATATCTCAAATATAGCTATACCTATACCTTTTTAAAAAGAGATAGATACATAGGCATAGATATATGTAAAACTTTTAAAGAGCCATTATTGATTGATTAAAGTCTAAATTATATTATGGGGCTTATAGCCTGGGTCAAAATAGAATGTTTAACAACAAAAGCATGATGGGCAGACATGGCTAATAATTGGAAGTATAATGGTTTAAGATTCTTGCACTAATTATAAAGTAGTAGATTTTAAGTAGGCTATAAAAAGTTAAAGATGAATATTTTAATAACTAGACCAACCACTAAAAAATAATACCAAGAGGCATAATCTTAGAGTAGAAGAGATTTAACAGAATATTAAAATATACTCATTTCACCCAAGAAGGCAAGAAAGGAAAAGTAGATAAACAAAAAGCATATGGGACAAAAAGAAAACACACACCAAGATAGTAAGCTTAAATCCAAACATATCAAGAATTAAATTGAATGTAAATGAACTAATGCTGTGTTGTGGGGCTTAAAAGACTGCTCTGCAAGTCACAAGCCATAAATCTTGGCAGTGTCTGCATGGTGCTAGTTCTGCAGGCTCACTGAGTGCACAAGACGTGGAGGCATGCTTTCCTCCAACTAGATTTCAATGTTTTGGACAGCCTCAGGGCCCAGTCAGAGACTTGCTCCAGGTGCAGAGCCACTGCAGAAAGCCTGCACTAGGGCAATGCTTAGTTGAGCCATGGGAGCAGGGCCATCCCCTCGATGTCAGGCACCAGTATGCAATGTCAGCATGGAAAAGCTGCAGACACAAGACCCCAACTCATCAGATTGTGTGTGCTGTGCCCAGCAAATCCACAGGTGTCAGGCTTCCCAGAGCTGTGGGGACAAAGGCCCCACCCCAGTGTGTCCAGAAGATGAGACATTGACTCAAAGAAGATTATTTTCAAGATTTAAGATTTAATGTTGTTTGCCCCATTGGGTTTTGGATTTACTAGTGAATTGTTACCTCTTTCTTCTTGCCTGTTTATCCCTTTTAGAATAGAAATGTATGTCTGTGCCTGTCCCAACATTGTATTTTGGAAGCATATACCTTGTGTTATTCCATAGGCTCACAGCTGGAGGAAAATTTGCCTCAGCATGAGTCATTCTTTGAGTCTCATCAATATCTAATTTAGGTGAGACTTTGGACTTTAGACTTCTGAGTTGACACTGAAACAAGTTAAGATGTTTGGAGCCATTGGCATTGAATGAATGTATTTTGTATATGAGAAGAACATGAATTTTGGAGAGGCAGAAACAGAATGCTATGGTTTGAATGTGTCCCCTTCAAAATTCAGGTGTTGCCAATGTGGTAGTATTAAGAGATGGGGCCTTTGACGGGTGATTAGACAGATCATGAGGACTTCTCCCATGTGAATGGGATTAATGCCCTTATAAAATAAACTTCACATAGTGTTAGGCTATCTTGTCCTTCCATGTTCCATAATGTAAGGATGCTACAAGAAGGCCCTCACCAGATGCTGGCACCTTGATCTTGGACTTCCCAGCCAACAGAACTGTGAGATGTAAATTTCTGTTCTTTATAAATTACCCAATCTCAAGTATTCTGTTATAGTAGCACAAAACAAACTAATATATGCCCCAGTTAAAAGGCAAAAAAATGTCAGACTGGGGGAAGAAAATAAGAAAAAAAAGAAAATAAAAATGAGTCCTAACTACATATATGCTGCTTACCAGAACATGCTGAAAAGATTAAGACATAGACAGGCTAAAAGTAAAAAGATAGAAAAAGTAAATTATACAAACACTAAGTATAAGAATGCAGATGTGGTATGTTAGTGTCAGAAAGACTTATAAAAAGTATTGGCAGATAAAAAAAGGAGATTTCATAATGATAACATCAACTTATCAGTAAGTCATAATAATCTTAAATGCATATGAAACTAATAACAAAGTCCCCAAATATATAAATAAAAATTTTACAGACATAAATGAAGAAATGGACAAGTCCACAGTTGGAGATATAACATCCCTCTCTCAGTAACTGATGGAACAAGTATAAATTTGTAAGACTATAGAAGATTTGAACAATATCAACAATGTGGCCTAAAATATTTTTAGAGAACACTATGCACAACAACAGCAAACTACACATTCTTTCCAAGTGCAAATGGGTCATTCACCAAGATAGATCATAAGTCATTTAGCAAGTCTTAGTGAACTGCAAAGGATCAAAATGATAGAGTATGTTCTATGATCAGAACAGTATTAAGTTAGAATTAAATAACAATAAGATATCTAGAAAACCTCCAAATATTTCAAAATGAAATAACAGACTTCTAAATAACTCAAGGGTCCAAGAAGAAATCTCAAAGGAAATTAGAAGCCCATTAAGCCTCAACAGACTTTACATCTAAGTGGGAATGAGATTATCAGATCATTTCAGAGAGCAGGTTTTAATTAGTGGAACATAAAGAAGGACTTGGAGGAGCTGTGCATGAGAGAAAAAGCACTAAACAGTTAGAGGACCTGATGCTGTTACATACAAGCCATGAGACATTTTAAAAACATCCTAGAGAATGTATTTCTCCATCTGAAAATAGGAATGAAAACACTTGCAACTTCATAACTTTGTGAAGTTTAAATACAATGCCTGCAAAAGCACCTTTCAAGCCCAGGGCTTGGCCCATTGCAGTAGATGTTCAACAAACATGAGTTGGATGAAAAAAAGTAGCTGGGAGCTCTCAAAAGCAAGCCTTATAATTTTGCCTAGAGCTCAATCAAGCAAAAAAGAGAAATAAGTATATTAGTTACATGCGAGGATTTCAAGTCATAGCTAACTAGTCCATAAAAAATTATTTAAGGATAGCTTAGGGAAAAAAAAAATCTTTGGAGGGAGCTAGGGGTTGAGAAAAGAGATGCTGTGTTCATATTCTTTTATGCTTTCTCTTAACTGAACCAATGCATTCCAGCTCCTTAAACAAATAGTATTTCCACTTTGCTGCTATTTACAGCCATAGCCTAAAGCACAAAGATCAGACTCAGCATCTGATTAAACTAAGTTTTATAAAGAATGACAAAATAATTGGTAAAAACATTTCAGCTTGGGTATGTAAAATAGAAAAAACAAAGTAGCAAATGTTCAAAGCACAATGGATTTTAGGGAACAACACTGTCTCTTCTCTTTGGCATTTCTCTAGGATTCATATCTTGGCTGGGTGACAAAAAGCTGTCCATCAGCTGCAAGCCTGAGCCTATCAGCCTTACAAATCAGAGTTAATAAAAGTCAATCAGTGATGGTTTAACTTGCTTGCTACTGCCTGAAGCAGGATTCAGCCCCAGTGTCTGTCATCCACTTAGAAAACACTTTCTATGGCCATCTATAATTCTAAAAATTTACTCATCTGAATTTCTATAGCTGGGAAAATGTTGTTTATATAAAGATATACATGGTCAACACAGATGCATATAAACCCCCTACAGGTAAATGCACAGATATAAACTTAACCCTCTACAGTTATAGATGCCTAGAAAGATGCAGGTTTTTTAAACCAATTCTTAAAAATCAGCCTCTTTACTTCAGAGTTTTTTCCTACACATACATGTTTCTCACTATGAATGGCACTTAATGTCATAATTTCCTTTACATGTATGTTGGCTTGTGACATTTCCAATAAATTAAGTAAGTGTTGCTGTATTCGTTGCCCAAATCCTGATGACAATGTCCACCAAGATTATGACAGTGGATCTAAAATTCGCAAACTACTAGAGCTGTTGTTCAGTCTTGTCAGATCCAAGTCTATGTACACAGGCAACAGCAGAACTTTCTACCTCAACCAGAGCAAATCACATGTGTATTCAATGCTCAAAAGGGCCAGATAGGAGAGATCAGGAGTAAATAAGCATCTGGGAGAGGCTGCAAGGACAGATATCAATCAGAGAAAAGTTCTCTTCTAACCACAAATCCCACAGTTTTCAAGACAAATTTAAAATCGGGAGGTCATGTCAAACAGAATCAAGGCAAAAAAATTTGTTCACTCACTCACTCAACAAACATTTACTGGGTGATGGCTATGTGTCTTTTATGTCTGTGCTTTTAACATTTATATTATGTGAGCCACATATGCATTTTAAATATATATAAAACAAATTAAATGTACGTATAATTTAAGTAGTATGAGAAGTTAAAAAAGTGCAATTAATTTTTGTGATATATTTTAACCCAATATATCCAGATATAATCATTTTGACATGTCATGAAAATATTTTTTAACTGAGATAGTTTACATCACGATTGCAACCAGCCACATTTCAAGTGCTCAGAGCCGCATGTGACTAGTGGCTACCACATTGAATGGTGCAGTTCTAGATTCTAAGGTAAAGCAGTGAACAAAACAAAATAATTGCCCTGGTGGAGATTAATCTTTGTGGAGAAGACAGATAGTAAACAGATCAATGTAAGATGTCAGATTATTAACATGGTCTAAAAGCCCATATGCAATCGGACCACATTCACCTCTCCAAACTCTTCATCATCATTATCGCCCACTGCTCCCCTGCACTCAACCAGGCTCCAGACACACAGCCCATCCTGCCCTTCCCAGAGCAAGCCTGCCAAACACATGACATCTCACGGTATTTCCATCCACCTGGAACATTCTTCCCCAAGTTTCTTTAAAAACTTTAAAGAACAATGTACATAATCCTAAACAGGCCCGGCACAGTGGTCACGTCTGTAATCCCAGCACTTTAGGAGGCTGAGGTGTGCATGGCTTGAAACCAGGAGTTCAAGACCAGCCTGGGCAACATAGTGAGACCCTGTCTCTACAAAAAATACAAAAATTAGCAGGACATGGTGGCACATGCCTGTAGTCCCAGCTACTTAGGAGCCTGAGGTGGGACAACCACTTGAGCCCAGGAAATCAAGGCTGCAGTGAGCCGAGATTGTGCCACTGCACTCCATCCTGGTCAAGAGAGTGAGACCCTGGCTCAAATAATAATAATAAATAATAATAATAATATGGCTATAGAGTGCTTACTATGCACACTACACTACATACATTTTCCTCAAACTCCACAACAAAATATCAAAATAGGTACTATTAATATGTACATTCTTTCAATAAGAAAACTGCACTTTACATAGGTTATACTTATTTATTTAACCAATCCCTCAATTGTTAGATTTTTTTCGCCTTTTTTTTTTTTTTTTTCCTAGACGGAGTCTCGCTCTGTGGCCCAGGCTGGAGCGCAGTGGCGCGATCTCGGCTCACTGCAAGCTCCACCTCCCGGGTTCACGCCATTCTCCTGCCTCAGCCTCCCAAGTAGCTGGGACTACAGGCGCCCGCCACCTTGTCCGGCTATTTTTTCGCATTTTAAGTAGAGACGGGTTTCACTATGTTAGCCAGGATGGTCTCTATCTCCTGACCTCGTGATCCACCTGCCTTGGCTTCCCAAAGTGCTAGGATTACAGGCATGAGCCACCGTGCCCGGCCTTCACATTTTTAAACTTCATGCTAGGTTACTTTTGCCTTAGAATTGAGGTGGAGTTGCTGGATCAAAAACTAGAGCCACTTTGAGGCTTTAAGGATAGATTGTTAAATTATTCCCTAATAAATTTATACCAATAAAAGACTTGCCCAGTGATACTAGCAACAACCCATGTCTCTTTCAATTCAGTACATTTTTATTTTATTTTATTTTTGAGGGGGAGTCTCACTCTCTCACCCAGGCTGGAGTGCAGTGGCACGATCTTGGCTCACTGCAGCCTCTGCCTCCCGGGTTCAAGCAATTCTCCTGCCTCAGCCTCCCAAGTAGCTGGGATTACAAGTGTGTGCCACCACACCCAGCTAATTTTTGTATTTTTAGTAGAGATGAGGTTTCACCATGTTGGCCAGGTTGGTCTCAAACTCCTGGCCTCTAGCGATCTGCCCACCTTGGCCTCCCAAAGAGCTGGGATTACAGGCGTGAGCCACTGCACCCAGCCATTTTAATTATTTTTAATCTTTAGTAGTTTGATATAAGAAAGATAGCTTTTCAAAAAATGTTTTGAATTTTTTCATTTATTTGATTCTGTGTGAGAATAACGTTTTTCATGTTTATTGAAAAAATTGTATCTCTCCCTTTTAACATCCTTATACCTCCTGTTATTTTTTTCATTTATGTTTATCATTTTCTCATTGTTAACAACAGCAATGCTAGAAAAGAGATATTAACACTTTGCTTATGTTTTTATGTTGCAAATATCTCTTCCTACTTTGTCCTTTTGTCTTTTAATTTTGTTTATGCTTTAAGTTTGTTCATGATTTTATGATTTTTCTCTTTGGTGGTATGCCTTCAAATCCTTTCCCAAAAATTTTAGAAATTCTTCTTTATCCTGTTCTCTCCAGCTGCCCTGCTGAGAAGCCTGGGGCAATTGTGGAAAAATTGTCTTCTTAGGTTTGAGACACTGTTCACTTCCAGCGTACTGCAGAGGAAGGGCTTACCTGCTGATGTGCTTAATTCTCCCCTTTCTTCAACTCTTCCTTCCTGCCTGCCCACAACACCCATGGAGCGTTTGTGACAGAGCAACCCCGTCGTCTGTCACTTGAGGATTTAGCTTCCCTCACCTTCCAGCAGTGCATTAGTCTCACACACTCACCTTAGGTCATTGAACATTTGCTAACTATCTGACAGATTTTTTGAGAAGTAATAGAGATGGAAACAGGCTTAGTATAGGACAGAGAGCATTAAATTGGAAGTCAAATCCCCACCTGCTAATTCAGCTTCTGCTGTTAACTACCTGGGTCCTGACCCTTAAGTTCTCTGGACCCATCATTTCTTATAAGATGAAAGGTTGGCACAATGACCTCAGCTGTATTCAAAGGCTAACATTTCTCACTTATTGCTATGATATTAGTCTTCTTTTTCATCTGACTTTGCAAGAAACATATTCCAAAGTACAGAAAGGACAATCTAATAAAATGACCCACATTATGGGAGTTTCTGGCATAAATAATCCAGAATGAGACTCAGTGGTCTAACTTTCTGCTTTTTAAGGTTATTTGTTGTATAATAATTCTAGGAAAATCAACTTCTCAACAGGCCAAAAAATACTTATCAGTGAGGAAAAATAATCAAGCCTTGAAATTTCTATATATGGTGATCAATTCAAACAGGAAATTACTTCTAATTCAGAAATATTACAAGTAATAGAGAGTTGACTTTTTACCTGAATTAGAAATAACAAAATTTACTGGGCTTGGAATCATCAGTAAAATATTAAGCTTCTCTTTCATATCCTACCCGATGAATAATGAACTGCTTCACTGGACTTGAACTTATTTTGGACGTGAATTTATTGAACCATTTTCTGAGGGTAGAATTCCAGGGCAGAATTATATGTTAGTAGCTGAATACAAGAGTTGGCCTTCTTTGTCTAGTGTAGAAACGGCCACCTCTTCTAAAATACAGAACAGATTTTCCAGTTCGTTTTGCAGAAATGGCTTTCATGGGATTTGACAACACAAGAGTCATTCATTAATCTAATTGTTTTCTGCCATGAAATTATGCTTAATGTTAGTAATGTGGAGACAGTAATATTATAAAATATGAACTGCTAAAAAGTAGCCAGGCATACCCTGGCAATGTCCAACCACTTGATAGATTAATGTCAAATTTTGGTAAATTTTAGATATAGATTGATGGGGCCATTTAACAGCAAATGTAATTAGTTTTAAACTTTATTTACCATTAAGTTCCAGTTTATCCCCTAAATATTAATATAATAATATCTAAGAATGAGAAATTATCATCAAAAATAACCATCTTTGAAATAAAGAGTCTTTGAAAAAGATTGAGCTGTTTAGACATCATTTATCTTAGCCTATAAAATTTTAAAGTCTGTGTGTTTGAAGTATCAGACACTTCCAACAAAGGTCTCAGCCCGCAAAATGCTAGGATGTCCATAATTGATACTTGTGGTTTTTTTCCCCTACTCTTTCGCTTTTTCAGAAGTGACCCAACAGAATATCTTGACATCAGCAGTACCAAAAACTAGTCGTAAATGAAAGAGAAATTCTTGTTTCTGTGGGCGTAAGTGAACAGAATTTGTCCTGGGTTTATTGTTCCCATAGATCCTTCTAGTGGATGAGAGTGCCAGACGTTTTAGGATGATTCCACCAGCAGCATCTTCCCTGGCCCTTCAGCCCCTGAATATTCCCTCTAGTCAGAAACAAACCACAAAGTCAACGAGTATGAGCTGGAAAGGCTTTGCTAGGACAGAATTTTTATTATCTTCTCTCCTTCCCTGAAAGTTATTTTACTTACAAATTGATTTACTGGGGAAAATGACACCTAGCTGTTAGATGTCGTGGGACTCAGGGCAACTGAAATCACTATACCCCAGTGTATCTTTCAAATCCTGCCATCACCTTATCTTAAATGAATGCTGCATATAATATGTCATGCAAAGGTCCTCCCAGTCTAGCATAGACTAAATATAGCAAAGCCCGCCTGGTGGAGTAAGATTTTCCAAGATAGACAAACGCACGGAGGCAATAATGAGCGAGGTTCTAGAGTTCCCCTTGGATGCAGGGTGTTCTTAAGGAAGAAGCGGGCTCACTGCGCAGAGCCCCACAGCTTGTTATTTTGTCACTTTCACCCTATCCTCGCCACCTGAAGAGTAACTAAACATAATAATAATGGCCATAATATATCATTGGGGCTCACGTTTATTTAGCGCTGAGTTAAGTGACTTACATGAGTTTTCTGATTATTCCTCACTACATCCCTACAAAGCTACCAATGAGAAAACTAGTTTTATCTAAGGTGATGCTATTAGTAAGAGATGAAACCAGAATTCAAACCAGGATTACCTGGCCCCAGGGTCCCAAGTGGAAAACACAAGAGGAAAAAAAAATGAATCTTTCAAAACTATTATCCTACCCACAGGTGTTTACAATGAAGTTGGCAAAGATAATCTCTCAACTGCACCCTGGAAAAATTTTCCCACTTACTTTGAAAACTACAAGTCATAATTTAATTTCTGAGAAGATGCAGTAAATGGAAGTAAAAAAACATGAGTGATACTAATTAGTCAAATTTGTTGTGCGCCTATTATATATTACACACTATGCTACATGCTTTCCGTTTATTCACTTATATCTTCTTTTTCGGCAGCCCTTCAGGTAGGTACTGCTATTATCTCCATTTCGTGGGTGAAGAAACTGAGGCTTGAATATGTTTCTGAGTAAACTCACACATATTAAAGGTATTTATAATTTGATATCTGAGAATAAAACTTTTACCTTTTATTTATCTTTATTAAAAATAATAAAAGGGGCCAGGCGCTATTATTATTACAGGCTCATGCCTGTAATCCCAGCACTTTGGGAGGCCAAGGCGGGTGGATCACCTGACGTCAGGAGTTCGAGACAAGCCTGGCCAACATGATGAAACCCCGTCTCTACTAAAAATACAAAAAATTAGCTGGGCATGGTGGCAGGCACCTGTAATCCCAGATATCCAGGAGGCTGAGGTGGGAGAATCTCTTGAACCCGGGAGGCGGAGATTGCAGTGAGCCCAGATCGCGCCACTGCACTCCAGCCTGGACAACAAGAGCGAAACTCCATCTCAAATAATAATAATAATAATAATAAAAGGTACAATTATTTAAGACCTAACTTCTTCCAGTGATCTTGTATTTTACCAATCCAGAATTCATGTTCCCACCGTGAATTTGGGAAATGTTTTAAATAATTTGTTCCTTGGTGAGTGTTCTAAGGAAGCAAGCGGGGAAGGAATAAAGACCCTACCTATCTCTCCACCCTCCAGTCTCTTATGGGTGCTTCTTACTCGCAAAACCCAACCAGAAGCCAGAGGACAGAAGAAGACTTTGGGTGCTACATTCCAGAGCAGCAAAAGTAGGTGGGGAATGAATTGAGCAAATTGAGAATAGTGAACACAGCCACTCTCTCCCTGAAATAGAAATAGGATCCACTATAACACATTTGATTTGCCGGGTGCGGTGGCTCACGCCTGTAATCCCAGCACTTTGGGAGGCCGAGGCCGGGGGATCACGAGGTCAGGAAATCAAGACCATCCTCGCTAACACGGTGAAACCCCGTCTCTACTAAAAATACAAAAAAAGTAGCTGGGCGTGGTGGTGGGCGCCTGTAGTCCCAGCTACTCGGGAGGCTGAAGCAGGAGAATGGCGTGAACCCGGGAGGCGGAGCTTGCAGTGAGCCGAGATGGCGCCAGTGCACTCCAGCCTGGGCGACAGAGCAAGACTCGGTCTCAAAAAAAAAAAACAAAACACACATTTGATTTGATGCCTAACGTCCACCTAGAAATAGCAAAAGTGACATGGGAAAATTTCCAGTCCCTGATCTGCAAAAGAGTAAAGTAAAATAATCATGTCAATACATAATTTTTAGACTGTTCTATACAATATGCATACTTACATATAACTAAATATACAAAATGTAGAATGGATTCTGATGCCAGGCCCTATTCCCTCTTGCTTGGGGAGTAACCTTGATTCAGTCTGGCTGAAGACATAGTTCTGAATCCTCTTCTGTGTCTCTCAGATGGAGTTCGTGTCACCTTGTTTGGGAAGACCAGCATTTTGAAGTTGGGCTTAACCACAGTTGGTGGTATCGTTTCCTATGCATGTTTAGGTTTGATCCTACTAATTTCAGTTAATATTGGTTTTACTTTTTCTATTATAAATTCTTAGATGCAGTGTCTCGTGTTAACCTAAGTACAAGATAATAGTGGTCACCACGCTCAATATTCTCTTAAGTACCAAATAAATGCTATTTAATTTTTATGACTCAAGAGACTTAAAAATTTTTTTTTTGCAGTAGTTTGGTCATATCTACGCAAATTGAGATTGAAGAGATTAAGATTTCAGCCCTGTGTTTGTTGTGAACAGTTTGAGAAAGTGTTGCTTGGGGCCTGAAGTATCTGGGAAATTGTCAGATGTCTCCACCCCAGCTGACTAGGAAGAGCTAGCCAAATTTTTCAAACCATAGCCTAACCTTTTCTATTATTTTGACGACAGGTATCTCTTTAGCCAGATCTACAAAGTCAAGGTTAACAGAGCTAAGAGATAATTATCTAGGCAGTTTCCACCTCCATTAGAATGATGATGGCTACAATTTTCCACTTTATTTTCAGTATGTAGACTGAGCACATGGAAGCCAGAGAAGAGATGCTTAAGTCAAATTTCCAAAAAGAAAATTATTCTTAATCATTCTAGTACAGAAGGTTTGGAGAAATTAGGATTCACATTTACTAGTGGTGGGAGTATAAATTGGCAATTTGGCAATGTCTAGTAAAGTTGAAGATGTGCATTTCTGATGACCCAAAAATCTACACACCCCCTTTTTTTGTTTTTTTGGTATGTGCCCTAGGAGAAAAAAGCACATACCTGTGCACAAAGACACATCGCTAAGATTTACATATACTTATACAATTAAATACTGTGTTCCAGTTAAAATGACTGTGGCTTAGATCTACCTGTGTTACCACTGGTAAATCCCAAACATATAATGTATATGAAACAAACAAGATACAAAAGAATGCATAGGGTGTAATATCATTTTCAAAAGGTTAAAAAAACCTGTAAAATAGCATATATGTTGTTCATAGTCATAAAAGTATGTAGTCAAAAACAATCAGAAAACATTTATATGCATGAACTCATGATAACCATTTCCTTTGAGGAGACAGAGAACAAATAAGGATAGAAAAGGAATACATAGTAATCCTCAACTATATCTATGAGATTTATTTTCTTAAAGCACACATACACACACACACACACACACACACACACACACAGACCCCTAAAGTGCAATGTTAAGATTTGATAAAATTGTGTTATGGGTCCATGGATTTTTATTATATTATTCTCTATAGTTGTCTACATGTTTGAAATATTTCATTATAAAATATATATTTTTAAATCATCCAAGCGCAAGAATATTTATCAGAGGAATCACCAAAGCAAGGAAAAATAAAACATCCCACTCAACTTCTTTTCCCCATAAGAAACCATGAATTATGGAGCAAAGAATGCCTTGTATTTATGAGAGAGATTCTTCTAAAGGATGCCTCACATTTATAAGTGAATATCCCTGTAAAGATCACGGCTTATTCATCCTAAATTCCAGACAAGAATATCCTACATTGGATTTGGTACAAGTTTATGATCCCAAAAGCATTAAGGTTAGCTCTGCTTAACATTTTATTTCTTAGCAGAACACTTTAGGAATTCCGAGAGAGGATCGCCCAGCTCGATCAGGGTGTTACACTGCCCTTGGAGCATTGGGAAGATAAGATAACTGTGGAAATAAATGATAGAATGGACTGAGCCCTTAGTGTTGCTGTGTTGTTTATCATACTTGTAAGACTGCAGCAATCAGAACATATGTATGCATTTTTCCCTTGAAACATCTTTTGAGTGGTAGTTGTGTGAAACAATGATCTGTTGAATTTAATTCACAGATCAAAGAGGAAGGAAATTAACCAACACAGTAAATTGATTATTTCATGGGTGACATAACCAAGGCAATGATTTATCTTAATAAAGGGCAACTTCCCTCTAGTTCTTAACTGAATTCCAGCCAACGCAATAATACTCGGCTGTTAATGACTTTGATGTTGATGTGGAAAAGTGAATGACTGCATAATCACTGAAATGGGACCTCATCACAGTTGGAAACGTTTAAGCCAAATCATTTTGGACTGTGAAAAGAGCCCTGAGTGGTGGATATTGGCTGGGTACCAGATCTTCAGTCTTAACTAAACAGGGCCTGAAAACTTTATCATATTGCACTGCTCTGGCTGGACCATAACTCTGACAGCTCACAGAGACTGGAGTTTAATATATATGTCTGTGGCCTCACAGAGGGAAGAAAGAATTCCAGGGCTTACAGCACCGATAATAAATACATGTCTATCAGCATTCAGCTGAAAGTGTAATTAGTTAAATCCGTCTTTGGGAGAGGGAACAGAAGAAAGGAAACAGAAGTCAACTTAAAAAAAATTGAACCAAAAGCTTATTTTTATACTCCACGTTACTAAATATGGCTTAAGAGCTTGCGAGACAGCGTTAGTCATAGATGGCAGCCTCCACCTCCTCCCCTCCTCCACTCTCCATCTCTAAATAATAAAATGAACTAAAATTAGAGCTGCATTCAAGTATGTTTGCTTGATTATTATTATTTGAGTTTGAGCTGAGAAGTCTATGAGGAGAGGTAGCACCCTTGGGAATATAAGGGACTCCCTGGTGTCCACATTTTTTACTTCTAAATGGAGAAAAGGAAACCAGCTTTGGTCACAGCCCAATTGTCATCACCCAACCCAGTAGATTTCCTCTTGGGCTAATCAGATGCTGGATAACATCAACTTCCTAGAGTTAAATTATTACATCCACGTATTATAATGCTAGTCTTCAGCAAGTGTCTCCAACCCACCCCATTCTCCCCTAGTCTCCACCCTATTCACCCTCTTCACAACCTCCCACTGTCCCCAGATGCTCCTAAACATAAGTTTCAGGGACTTGTCCAAGTGAGCCTATACCAAGCTCTGCAGCCACAGCTTGGTGACCAGGACTTATAAGAACACAGCCATAGGCACAGCTTGAGGGGCACCAGACACTTGCCTGTTTAAATACCACAGAGCCCCCAGGCTCAAGAAACTCAAGATGTCTGATTCTGATCATTTATTTTAAAAAAAATCTGTCTTTAGGGGCAAGGATTGTTAAACTGCTCATCCAGGCCTGCAGCTGAGGTTGACTCAGAGCTCAAAGCTGGAAAATGCCCATGTGGCAAGATTAGAAACTCATTTGTGTGGTTTCTGTGGCCTTGCCGGGAGCCTCCTTCTTTTCTCTCCTCTCTCTTTAAATCCAAGCCTTCATCAGTTTATTATTTTAAAGGCACCCTTTTCCTGCTGAGTAAGTGACATGGCTGCATCCAGGCAGCTTTTCCCCAATGCATTAATGACCCTCGAAGATTTTATTCCTGTTCAGCAACCTACTTAGATGAGGTCATCTGGGAAACTTTCAAATAGTCTATACCTTTTCTTTTTTTTTTCTGCTCTTCTCAAACTGTTCTCCTCCATGTGCAAGAAATTCTTTTCTTTTATTCCCTCTCCTCAAATTCAATCTGAATCCAAGTGCTTTTAATTTTTAGCTGCATTTTGCAAGCCTGGACTTTCAGGAATATATGTTATGAAAGCACTGAAAGAAAAGACTTTCTTGTCATCAAAACCATAATAATTATGTGTCAAAGATAATTACTGCTTGGTGTGTAATACATCTAATACCAAGTGACAGAGAAAGTAGTCTACCGGCAGACAAGAGTAACTGCCGGCTGGCTGAAATCTGATATAAAATTAACCACCAGGCTCAAGCTCTCTGCCCACTGGAATTTCACCAGATAAAGGCCACCTCCACCCCCCAAAATAATTCTTAGCAATGGTTAGTTTATTTGTGTTCTTTGTTGGGAACTTTTTAAAGAAATGCTTATATTGGTATATGTGTAAAAATTAGTTGTGTCTCTCATAAAGATATAAGACTGTATTCCAAATGCCCATGTTGCATATGCCATAGGGAGATTATCTGGAGAGTTGAATTGTTAATACAACAGCTAAGAACACAACGAAACTCTGGGAAGTAAGAATGAGAAGCTTTCAGAGATTGCTAGTAGTTTGGCTCCATAACACCTGAATTTAGAATCTAATACTTATATAGAAAACCAATGCATTGAAAGCAAAGCATTTAAGGATGTGAAGATGGACCACAACACTGCTGGAACAAAGGGAGGTAAAGAGAATCCTAGGGATGCTACCAAAGTAAAACGTGATGGTCCTTGGGAAATTTCCCTGAGTTGGGCTGGGAAACAACTATTAAAAAAAAAAAATCAAGCATGAGAATTCTGCTCAAAGGTTCCTTTTGGGCAACTTTATAGCCGAAGATAAGGGCCAACTTCCTTTTTTGATCAGTGATGCCCCTGGCACATTTCACCACGAGCAAAATCAGCTATGCCAAAGAAAAGCTGGCTTGAGCCCAGCAAAGGCAAATGGTGGTTAACAGCAGTCAGGGTTGCATGGTTTACGCATCATTTAGGATAGACCTAAATCTCACCTACCTCATCACAGCAAAAACTGTCTCCACAACAGCAGAAGGAGAGGCCAGAAACTTAGAAGAAGAACTGAGTTTTTGTGAACTGTTCCCTGATTAGCCGAAATAGCAAACAGGCCTGCAGACTCTCATCAGCTGGCAATGAATGGACTTGGGTGCACTTGGTACACAGAGGCAAAAATACAGACATTGATAGAAGACTTTAGTGACCCTCTGAGGTTCCTCTTTGTGAAGACTAAGACTAATCCAGCACAGCATTATCTCTAAGCCTTCAAATGAATCCTGTGAGTGCTTATCTAGTTCAAACTCATCTCCACCAAAAACCCTCCTAGTGCTTAATTGAAATAGTTCATTTTGATTTAGTGCTCAACAGCTTCTGTACCATTATAGCTGTTCTGCACCAGATAGGAATTCCTTTTTAACTTCAGGAGTTATGTTCTTTGAAAGTACTGAAATTGGAAAAACTACATTTGGCAAGGCTAAGAATCAGAAAATAATTAAACTGGTGTTAACTAGATATACCTAATAATAATGAATAAAGTTTCTAGAAGGCACCTGGATGCAGGAAATTAAATTAATTAGCATTAGAAATCTCCTGTTGATAACCATTTATTTGTTTATGAAATATAGCTTCATCATCCTGCCTAGCCGAGGCAGAGTGGCAAATTTTATGCAAGACACACTGTACCAACTCAAAAAAATTTTTAACCACTTCTCAATGGATAAAAATTCGATGCTCTTTGCACTTAGGCCCTCATTTTTAGTTTCACTGTTTCTGTGAAATTCTCATGTAACAGTCTATCCTTTTCCTAAGCATCAGCCTGCTTAAGGGCATATGTTACTGGTGGTCCCTCTCCACGATTTGAGAGGGTAGAGCATAAATAATTTCCCTCTGTGCCATTCTATAGACCCTAACACATGATCTGCTGGGGGGAATGGAGGGAGAGAGATGAACTGATTCGAACTGAACCTCGGGAGAAATATCGTTTTATATATATTTGGTATACAAATATAAAACTGTGCTGATCTCAAATCTAAAATTGGTAAAGGAGTACAAATTTACCTTTCCTCTTCATCTCTAAGATTTTGAGATAGAAACTAATGTTGTCTTCCAATTTGGCTGTTAGCAAGAGCAATTGAGGATGGTGAAAAATAAAATGATGAGACATAAAAAGAATGACATGAAGTGTTCTCAGAAAATAAGAAAAATATTCATATTATTACTTCCATGCTAATGTGTTTAGGAATTTCTTCACAAAACGTAACAAGGTGTATTCCACTATACTGTCTCAATACAAACTACAGTTCTGAACTCACACTGCTTTTCTGCAGAATATTTATGAAATAGTTTGGATTGTTTTAAATATCTGACCAAAAAGTGTTATTTTTAACAAAAGAAAAAAATAAAATAGGCTTTTGAATATATGTATTGCATATATTTGTGAAAATATTAATATTATATAGACATTTTAAATATCACATCATCCAATAGCATTCTTAGTAAGCCATAATGTAACACAGAATTTTCGGTAGTGCTTAAAATGAAAGGTAATGGAGAAAATACACTATATAATTCAGAAACATAAACACACACAAGTAGAACAAAAATAATAAAATGACATTAACTAAAATAAATTCTTGACTTTTTATCACATGGATTATTTAAAATCTTAACAAATAAAGAATAACCACCAGCATACCTTATTAATTTTGTTGTATAAGGTATCCATATAGAGTCACCATGGTTAAGCTTCTCTAAACTACATCACTATGAGCCACTAATAGTAGATTTCTCTCTGGCAGTTAAAATAGCATTTAAATATTTTTCCCAGACATACATTTTTGTATAGTCTAATTCTCAATATACCAAGTTATTAGATGCCAATTCTCAATTTGTCAAGCATAAGGTATTATCTCTGTTGGGAGGCCGTGGCACGCTTTAGTGTTCTAGCACTCTTCCACCTACCTCGAGTGTGGATCCCCCAACAGGCTTCAGTGATTCATCATTCCTGGCATCCACTTCCTTGAGACATCTGATTGGATTGAAATGATGTAAAGAGAAAGAGAAAATATACAAACTGGAGAAATTCACAAAAAATATACAACTGGGTTTCTCTTGTTCTCGATGTTACTAAAGAAGAGTTTTCAAATGAAACATATTTATCTTCAGCCACACACAAAAATAAATAACCTTGGAAAATTGTTAAAGAAAAGAAAAGCTGGCAAACAATGCAAAAATGACAAATGGTTAAGATACTTGTTTTTACAAATCGGTGTCACAACACAGTGCAATATCATGGCTAGCATGTTTTGTGAATCTATGCCTGTCAATACATCATTCAATAAAGAGCAGCAGGGTTTTGGTTAGTGTCTTTGTTTTATTTCCAAGAAAGCAACAGCAATAGTCCTTGGAAGAAAAGTGAGAAAGTGACCAAGGCTGATGGGTATTGATTTGTCCCCTGCATTGAATGTCTAGGGAAGAAATGTGGGTGGTCCTGAAGCGTGACCTGGGCCACTCATTACTAAAGTGTCCTTTTAATGCTTTTCGTCTCTGATGTGAACTTTCAACTATCTGGTTTACCTACATTTAACTATCTCATGAGTTATAGGTAACCCTAGCATCTTCCTAAATTCCTTTAATTATTTTCAAGGATAAGAGGCTATACAGCTTGTGAAATATAAAAACTCCCTAAAGGTCAAAAAGGAGCTTTAAGTGTTAATAAAATCTTATGGGTTTTTAGTAGGAAAGGGTAGCACAGAGTACCTACTTAAACGGTCTATTTTTACTACCACTTTTCATCTTCACTTGGAAATGCTTTTGTTTAGAGTGATGTGAAATATCATCTAACCAGACAGCGACAGGAGCATTGATCTGCTTATCCTTGCAGTGAAATGAACATAGTTCCTCCATTCTCACACCCAAAACCTGAGCCAAATGGGTGAATGGCTCTGACAGGGAAAAGTGGGAGCTTCCCTGACTAATAGCTGAGATGCAAAGTATTTGAAAAAGAAATTAGAAGAATGCATTATCTAGAGACATTTCCTGCCACCAAAACACTCCCTCTTAGGCCGATGACTGAGGAATCCCAGAAGGCATTCTCCCCTGGATGTGGCCTACATCAATGGCACATTTCTGAATTGTCAGGCTGAAAGCCCATCAATAGTCGTAAGGAAAAGGATGTGTCCTCATTGGGGGTGTGTTGATGGATCTGATCCAGAACATGAGAGGTGATTCCTGGGTTACTTGGATGCTGGACGTATTTGGGTCTGGTGACGGTGCTTATGATTCTAAATCAAAACCATTCTCCCTGCTTCATTCAGCGCATTACATAATACGAGTCGGGCTGTCTACATGCATAATTATCACTGCTCATGAGAAACAGGCCCAAAAGAATTCTCTGACCTTGTGCTGATAAATTGTGCTGAAGGAACGAGGGGCTCAGAACTGCCAGTGTCAGTTACAGTCTCTGAAAAATTAAGTTGGACTGAAGGAAAATCAAGCTTCTGCATGGCACATTTCTCAGTAGACTGATACTCTAATCTATTGAAGTCTATTTCTCAGGACCCCAGTTCAAGCCCCACCTCTGCTCATCAGTCAGCACATCATTCCCAGCACTAAACAACATGCTTGTAATTTCCAACCTGGCTGGAATTAGCTCCTGAGAGGAGCAAGGAGGAGGAGTTGAGAGGGAAGACAGAAAGAAATGGTTCAAAAAAGTACTCTTTCTAAACCAGAAACATCTGCTACAGTCATAAATGGCTTTAAGTAGAAATCTGCGACAAGGGGTCCTCATAAAAGTAGAAAGAAATGAAGCCACCCCTCACTCAAAGTTCCCAGGTAACTGGAACAAGCGATATCACTATATATTAGAGCAAACCTTTGAACCTGTTTGGTGGCTGACACTTGGCATTTTGTATTTGGCTCCTATTACAAAGAGCCATGTAGTACTAAGGACCTTTGTGTGTAGTCCTGAATGCCTGAAATGCTGGGGTGTGACTTGGCAACTTTACACATACTTGTCGTCATCCATTCGTCTCAGTGAAGATCCCTCTTACTGTAATTCCTCAGAGAGCTTTTCTAGAAGAAGCAAGGAATGAACAGGATGCTCCTCTCCCTCAGCTCTGATAAATTCTCACTCTAACTTAGAAGATGTTCATAAACATACAAAAAATTCGGAATGGACTATTACCAATATGAAAGAAATACCAGCTTTCTACCTCTTTGGTGTCTGTGTGTGTCTCTGTGTAGTTTAGAAAAGTCCTAACATGGACATTCTAGAAAGAAACTGTAAGATGCTCAGCCTTACTTGTCTTCTGCACACAGTCCTCCCAAACCTGCCTTGAGAAACCAAATAAAAAACTTTTTAATTAAAAAAAGCATCATGAATTCTAAACTAGTTTTGCTACCAGCACAGAAATGCTTTAGTGATATTTTTAATAAATTCAATCTTCAGACACACACATACAGACACACACACACACACACACACAAACTCTCTTCCTGATTCACGTTTTGATTGAAATTTAGAGATGAATAGGGTTTAACTAACACTGAACCAAACATATTATATGTATTTGCCTGAATGAACGTGCTCAAAGAAATAACGAAGGACCTCAAAAGCAGTTGGAAGTTTAGTAGTAAAAATAGACATGACTTTGCCACAATTTTTATTACTGTAACAAATGTGGAATTACTAGGGACTAAAGAATAGGAAGAACAGAAAAATAAACCAAGCTTCATTCAATCCAACCCTGGAAGTCTGAATAAGGTGAGTATTGCTTTGCTGTAAAATAGCTAGAGGAAAGGAAAGAGGGTAATATAGTGAAATAAAGAGTTTCTTTAAAAGCAAACATCAAATTGCAACCACATCAATCATTCCTTGATCTTAAAAAAATAAATGAGTGCTTTTCTCCACAGTTGGAAATTTCATTACTTCTGTATGTTCTCTTCTTTGTTCATAAGCTGACTAAGAACTCCTGGAAGTTTTGCTTTCGTTTGGGAAGAGGGGTCAGATTTTTGATGGCCCCAAATGTACCCCAGGGATTCTGCCTCACGACTAAAGTTTTACTTATTTTTCCTTCTCTTCTTGGCTTTTTCTTGTGGGGGAACAATAAATATATCTTTCAAATATACCATTATAAAACAGGCTCCCTGCCGTGCTATAGTATCCAAAGAGTTACTCACATTATGGGGTCCTACTGAAATACAGATCTTTCAAACTCACATCTAAAATGTCATTTGCACATGACTATTTTATTGCATAAGATGCAGTGGTGAGGCAAGCAAATGAGTTATTGTACTGAATTAAAAGACAGAAAAAAAAGATGATAATCTTTTTTATATTTTGCCAAAAAAAAATACAAATTAACTATTGGCTGTTTCCCTTAAATATGCAGTCTCAGAAGCCAGAGGGAAGATTCAGAGAACAAAAATGATTAATGAAAATGGTGCTAGGATTCCATAAAAAAAAGATGAAAATTCTGGAACTAATTAGCTCTGAAAGGAATACAGTAAGAGAAGCATCACTTGGAAATGACTTTATAGCAAAAGTTCTTTCTAGAGAGCCCAGAGTGGAGGCAGAGAAAGAAAAAGGATAATAAATGATTCAGGTGAATGCAAGTCAGGTGTCTTTTCAGTGGTAACAAAACACATGTGGTAAAATTCGTGGGCTCTGAAACTCTTACTTTAGATACAGATGGGGTACCAGGAGACCTAAAATCAAGGTCCCTTCACATGAAATAACCTGCATGTACTGTATTTCTCTAAGACTATTTATGGTTGATGTTGACCTCTGAAATACTGTTCTACCGGGTTGTAGCACTCAATTCAGGAATACCTTCAAATAAAGCAAGTAAACTATTTTAGATAAAGTAAAAGGCATACATGCCCTAAACTGAATTAGGCTCTCAACGAAACTCTACGTAAGTTAAGTATGCTCTAATTGTGTCTTGCTACACTGTGTGATTTGATTACAGAGGTAACTTGGAAAAAAAACACAGTAATTTCACTACTAAGGGATTTCTTGTTCACTTTTCCATTTCTGGGAATTTGATATGAAGATAGTAGTTCAGTAGAAGAGGAAGGGCAAATCACTTTCATTCTCCTGACACCTCTCACTCCGAACTCATGTTCTGAGTTTGATCCTCTAGAATTTTGCCGGTCATCTATTCCCTGGAGTTGTTCTCCTTCCTTACTGTGGTCTGCAGAAAGCATGAAGTTCTGTTTTCATGGAGTAAAATTTCATTAAGTTTTGCACAAAATGGAGAAGTACAATGCAGAATATAAGCAAGTTAAATTTTTTCTGCCAACCTTCCTCATGGAATTTGTCACTGGCCAACTTTCTCCTTAAGCCCATTGCTGTCTGTGTCTCTAGAACCCTTTCCCATGTCATTCTTTCAGAGCCTACAGCCTTCAATTTTTTTGGTGGTCTTGTTATTTTTGTAATGTGTCAGATACTTTTGAAATACCTCCAAAACTTTCCCCTACATTTAGGCCATTCTTTCCTGTTTTTTTCTATCCCTGCCCATGAATAATACTTAGCAACAAGACTGAAGTTAGGAAAGAAGAGACTCGGATATAAGAGAAGTCACAGCTATGAGGTAAGAGGAAGTATTAAAAATAAAAGTCTTGCTTCATCCAGCCCCGGAGGGCTGTGAGAAGAAAAAGTGGGAGGGAGCAAGAGAAGCTGGGGGTGAGAAAAGTGAGATCTCAACCTGGAAAGAAGATGGTATATTTGAGAGCTTGATGAGAATATACAGCCCAAAGGACTCTGGGAGGAAACTGGTGCACAGATCCCACTGCCCCAAGCACACAATGGGGTGGTCATACAAAGTTAACCTGACAGCGATTGCACAGTAATTAGGCAATGGGGTTGCAGACTTTAACTTTACTGAGCCATTTCTGTTTCCTATATACTGTGGATGAAACATAGAAAGCTTTAGGACAGGGGTCTCAGACAACAGCTGAGATGACAGCCAGCCAGATTCTCCGTGAGGTTCATCATGGCAGTTGGCTACAGCAGAATGAGGCCAGGCAGAGACTCAGAGGGTTCTGTGGTGTCAATAGAAACTACATTGAAGCTGCAATGAGGCCACATCAACCAGAAAGTCTCACTGGGTCCTGAACAACAGACCCCCAGACCCGCAGACCTGTGGAATGCCACTTTAGCCAAGAAAGCCAACTGGGCAAGCAGCCACCAGAGAAATGAACATTTTCAGAGACAGAGGAGCTGGAGGACATCATGGGTCCAAGGACCCCTTTCCCTCAAGAATATGTTAGTGAGGCCACTCATACATTCAGACGCCATCTTGGGAAAGCGGAGGAAAGAGATGTGAAGGATCGAAGATGTATCCAAATGAAATGAAGAGATTGGACCGAATTTAGTCCCCTCCCCTTCTCATCCATTCACCTGTTTACCTAGCTGTGTGGAGGACAGGCAAAATAGATCAGCTAGCAATAAAATAAAGAATCTATGCTTCTCTCCATAGCTGTGTCTAGTATAAATAAGTTTTTCATATCTTACCATTTGTTATACGTAGAGTTTTGCATTCCCTACTTCCTTTTTTTTTTTTTTTTTAACAAATGTCCCCTTAAGAATTTTCTTAAACTAAACTGAAAACCTTTGAGGTTAGTGATGTCCCTTCCCCTCCCAATAACAGGGAAGCAAGATAGATATTTGTTACCTTTCTTTTCCTCCCTCTCCCCTTCCCTCTTTCCCTTCCTCCCTTCATTTCTCTTTCTTTCCCCTTTTCTCACTGTGCTTTTTTTTCTTAAGCTATTTTTTTACTTGTATGTAGGATAGTCTTATCATAAAGGAAGTATTTCAGTATTTTCTGGTATGGATCAGCCTTACAAAGAGGATCCAGGGCAAAGCTAGCAAATATATTGAATTTCCTTGTTCATCACACAGCATACTTGCTTATTCATTTTTTAGTAGTGGCAAATACATTTTTGTAGCTATTTCATTTTTGTTATTTTAATACACAATAGGCATTTCAAAGACCAACATTAAATTAGTAACTAAGGAGACCCTTGAACTCTGTTCAGTTTATTAAAGCTATTCTATAAGCTTTCTCTATTCTATATCATTAATATACAAACATCCTATCGGACCCTAAAAGGATAAAAGGATACAATGACCTATTTCTAGGAACTCTGATTTTAGAGAACCAATGGGAGAATCTAAAACCCATATATTGATTTTCCTATATATACAATTTTAAGATTTAATAATAAGATAATCAAACTTAAATATCATCAGAGTACCTCTGGCTGTCTTTCCTTTCTCTCCCCCACATTTTTACTTCTGCCCATATAGGACTGAAAGGCTTCAATGCTTCCTTTTCACTGTTTCATTAGGAAAGAACTCACCTGCTCTTGCTGCCTGTGACACAATAAAACTTTTGTTTCCAAATATTGGCAACTTAGCTAGACAAAGCCAGCATTATGTTCGCTAAATATCAATGCTTTTTGAAGGAAATTAGCTTCTGGGTTTTTATTTTGTTTTGTTTTGTTTTTACAACTACCTTATATTTACATCACACATTTCCCTGAATGCCACGAAGTGATTTACAGGTGTTAACTGATTCATACTTACAAAGAAGTTGGTGGAAGACACAATATTTTGGTCCCAATGTTAGAAATAAAATTACAGAGAGGTCATCAGTTGCATGAAGTCAGAAAAGTGGCAGAAATAAAAATCTGAGGCTTGCATCACAATTTGTCTTCATTCACTCACTCTCCAGAATGGCATGATATAGAAAAAGTAAGAGACCAAATTGTCAGATTTGGCACTAACTAACTTAGCCTTACTGGACCCCCGTTTCCTATTTCTGAGAAATTTTTCTGAAATTTTAAGTGCTGGAGTATTGAGTTTGGAAGCCCACTAAATTCAAAAGTGGCCATTATGTTTATTCAGCTAAGCATATATTTACATACATATATACATATACATATACATATACACATACACACACATTTATTTAATTCCATTAAGGTGAAATTCTACTTTCTCTTTCTCTTTTAAAAACAAAGGCTATTTGGTTGTATTAAGAATCAGCACAGGCCGGGCGCGGTGGCTCACGCCTGTAATCTCAGCACTTTGGGAGGCCAAGGCGGGCGGATCACGAGGTCAGGAGATCGAGACCATCCTCGCTAAGGCGGTGAAACCCCGTCTCTACTAAAAATACAAAAAATTAGCCGGGCGCGGTGGCGGGCGCCTGTAGTCCCAGCTACTCGGGAGGCTGAGGCAGGAGAATAGCGTGAACCCGGGAGGCGGAGCTTGCAGTGAGCCCAGATTGCACCACTGCACTCCAGGCTGAGCGACAGAGCGAGACTCCGTCTCACCAAAAAAAAAAAAAAAAAAAAAGAATCAGCACAAAAACATCACTTTATTTATTTCCTGAAAGAAATATGGCAAGGAGGCAATTACCTATACTACTTACAAGCTCAGTTTCTTCCATATATCTTTCTGTTCCACCCTTGCTCCCCCGAAATTGCAAACATTAGCAATATTGATGTCCTGCCAGCATTGATGTAAAAAGCAAAATATTTTGCAATTATGGTAGTTGTTAATATATATTTTTCCATACCTGGGATTTTGAGCACTTATAATTTTTAATATGCTCTCTCATATGTTCATTCTTTATTCAGGAAAAATGTGAAATTTGAGAATTTTCATGGCAGAATTTGTTGGTTTTACTTTTTACTGCTTTTTTGTTACTTTAGGTGATTCCTGTGTGTGTCTGTGAGTATGTGTGATTACAGAACCTGTGCTATTTCCTCTTCCCTCCCAGCCTTTCTCACTTGGTTCTGTAATAAGTGAACTTGTGCCTACAATTAACATCAAAACTACACAATGCACTGCTCTACTATTCCACAGTGATCACTCCCCTTCCCACCCTGCACAACAACACTATCATTGAGACATGAAATAATCAATTAATGAGGGAAAACAACAAAAGACTTTGTTTCTTCTTACAAGACAGAGAAAGCTGAAGGAATATTATCCTTCCTAGGGCCATATTGAAAATGATGAAAATGTGTTGTGTTTGGTGTAGATGTCAAATGTTTAGGAAGACACAGAACTAATTCAACTGTATACCTCCCACACACTTACACAAACTGTTTATATTAGCATGAATGGTTTGTTACATGCCCAAGAACGTTTGGGGCACCATTTACAATCAGGGATGAAACTAATCAGAGTAACGTACCACCTGGAGTTGCTTTTAGCAACGGTGTGGTAACTGAGACCAGAAATAATGAACAAATTTTTTTTTGTTTTTTTTAATTGACGGTTTTAGTTTTGTGTATTTCTCTTTTCCCTTCCAGCAGCCTTATATTATACCAAAATGAGAACACAATCCTGTTCAACTTATGACTTATGAAGAATACTGAGAAAATCTAAATATAGTGAAAAACAAATGACTGTCACTGATAGTCAGGATAAAATATTTCAGCCTTGTTTTTTAGAGGATGAGGTTATTTTACATATCCCAAATTAACCTCAACAGGAAAACTGCCTTTTTTTGGGGTAATTCAGGAAAACAGAATGAAATTTATGAATAGCAAGAATATGCAGTCATTTAAGACAATGGACATTCTTTTTGAAAATTTTTTTAAACATCAACTTGAATCGATTAATGAGAAACAGAGGTAGACAAAGCCCAACGGGATCTGTCTTTCCCAGGCATATGTATTCTTCCTGTTAGTAGGGTCAACATGGGGAGAATAAATAGCAGTGAGCAAATACTTCTTTTTAAAATGATACTGTGCATTACAATTTATTACTAGAAGATAATTTGTCAAATGGAACTCCATTAGTAATTTTTCCTTTCCAGAATGATATAACTTTGAAAAATGAATATTATTAAATACAGGAAGTAACCTAATTCACAATGAATTCATCTTCATCATTACTGATAATGATAATCACTCACAAGACATATCCTGATGTCCTTTGCCTATTCATTCATTAACCAAACTGGTAAATCATCACTTAAATACATGGATTACCCATGAATATCAGTCATATGTCCCTGTAAGCTATCCAGCTATGTTCCACATTTTATCTAACGGGTAGGACATTGGTTGAGATTTTTGATATATTTGTAATTTGGGGGACAAAGCTTAAAGAATCATTATAACTTCTAAGCACTTAATTCTAAGTAATTCAGACTGAATTTCTCATAATGTTTGTCAGGCAAAAAAGAAAAAGCAACTTTGATATTTGGGAATTTCACAATTCTGAAATATGTGACACACAGTTCTTAAAGCAATGATTCATCCTCTAACAAATAATACAAATGAGTTTATCTATTATTTTGAGTCAACACATTCCTCCTGACATATATTTCTTCTCAAATAGCCTAAAGTTCCTTTCCAATATGTTAAACAACCATTATCCTCCAGATCTGAACTAAAAAAAACAAGGAACACATCATTGAAAGGTCTTGCCATGAGTCATTTGACAATTATCTCAGAATAATTATCCTTGGAATCCTGACTCACAAATAATATAGCCATTCAACCCACCTTCTTTGTGCAAAAGCTTAATGTGAAATGGGAACCAAGGAAATAAACGTCTGTCTCCAATATTCAGAACATCTGCATGAGTAAAAATTATTCAAAAAGGTACCATGAATTTTTAAAATGAAATGCAGCATGTAAAAATTAAGCACCTGGTCTTTTTCTTTATATTTCATTTAAAAATTCTAAATAGACTGTCACCAGCTGTACATTTTACTGCATTTTATATTATGGCAGGCAGTCAAGGTAATACTGCATCCTTTCTCATCTGAAAACCACATAAAAATTAATTTAAAAAAGAAAGAAGAAAAGGGTGGATCATCCCTTTTGTCAGGTGCAACAAGGAATTTAAGGATGCCACACAAACTGAGGAGGCCATAAAAATGGTGCAAAAAGAAATTAAGAAATTTTATTTCAAATGAAGTCCTTGAGATAAAGGAAAAGAATATTGTTTCATTTATTGTTAATTCAAACTTCCTAAAAGAGTCATAGGAATTAGATAAGAAATTTCATTTAGCTTTGGAGAAATGATGTACTTAATTTATAAGTAAAATCTGGGAAAATACATGAAGATGTCATCTTATTGGCTATTTTTACTCATATAACCTAATGAATCATCAACCAACCAAAAAGAATGTACATGCTATAGCCAGGAAGCAACACTTTGTAAACTTGATCATTGATTGGCACATACTGTAGTACTGATACCAATCCAGTTTCCAGATTTTTAAGAGAAACAAGGGATAACTGGCAGAAAAAAAAATCCTAAGATAAGCAAAAATCATTAAGTCTCAAATTGGCAGATAAACTTAGATTGCAAGTGGCATTTCTAATTGTTTTGCACAAACCTTATTTAGAAAGATTTTTAAAGTTTGCCTCTTTAAAAATATTTTTTCTGTAACATTTTAAATATTTACTGATAAAATGCTTACTTTATAAAAACGCAGAAACAATGTTTTTTTAATTTCTATTTGATCAGTTTTTTCTATGTCTATAATCATGTGATATGAACATCAGTCTCTTTGATATGACTGTTTAAAGATATAGAAATTCCTATATCTTTATAGTCTCTATCCTGGAATCACGTAACTCCAGTTTAAATCCAACTTTGTCATCCATGCCTCAGAATTTTTTTTTAATCACCAAGTATGTACCGAGCACTAATGAGTGCCAAGTACTGCTCTTGGTGACAAGGATAAAAAGTGAGCAAAACAAATATGGCTCACACCCTCTGCTTCATCTCTAAAATGAAAAATAGCCTTGAGAATAGCATCTTAATAAATGTTAGTCCCTATTCTAGTGTCTCTGCATCTGTTGTTAATGGAAAGTTGCAAGCTCATGCAGAATCAATACCAGATAGATAAGGTCCTTTAGGTGAGTGACAATATGCATGCGTTGTTTGGATTTTGGAAAATATTCATTGCCTCTAACAACAATTTTTTCTGTAGTCCTAGTAGTCCTAGTTACATAATAAGATATGAAAATAAGATATTACTGTATTTCCAGTTTTGAAAGAAAAGTTGAGTCTTTTTATTTTTTTATGGTGCTTGTTCTTTATGAGAAAGCTAGTTTATTATGGTAATTTTAGCCATTGCTTTAACCACAAAAAGATATATAAAACTTTTGTTCAAGAACACTCCTACATGATTTTAGCTCATATACCCATCATCTGAAAAAACTGAAATTCCTTTTCTACTAAACAACTCAATTATCATTTAGAAGCTTTGAGACATGCAATAAATTATTGGCTAGAGGAAAAATGTTTATTGTTTAGAAATGCTATGAAATACTAAATATCACCAAGGTATGAGTTCAAGCATACTGTGTATATTCCTTTAAGACACAATACTATGCTATATTTCATGAAAATAACTTGAAAAGTCTATAATATTTGCCTTTTAAACCATAACCCGAGAGGGGGAGAAATGAGAAATTAGATAGGGACTTACTTCTTTGATATTAGGCTATAGCTGATACCAAATTTGCAAAGGCAAGTAAAATCATGATGTTAATATTATAGAACTTAACCAAAAAACTAGAAAAATATAACTCCACATTGCATCCTATTGCCTATAAAATCCTCAGAAAGCAGAATATGATTGTCAGCATTATTGCTAGGAAAAATATAATAGTAATAGATAGTAGTCTCATTATTTCTTTTATTTACTACAAAAAAAGGATTGAGTGTGATACCTTTTTAACAGCACATTATCTCACCTTAGAATATGGCTGCATAAAAACTTATAAAATTGTGTGGGTTTTAAATTTCATTTAAGTTAGAATTTTTCCATGTGTTCGATTTTTTGAAATTTCTAACATTTGATATTTGTATGAGTGATCAATAGTTTGTTTTCCTTCTTTGTTGTTCTTTTTATGACTCTTCCTCAACTTCTATTATATACAGCTTGAAAAAAATTCTTAATATTTAATAAATGTTAGGGTCCTTAAGAATAAATTTAGTTTTAATGAAAAGAGAATTTTAACATCCTATTTAATTTGTACTATAACTTCTCATTACTCTCCCCACTCCCAAAGAAGGGCAAAAACGTTTTCACAAAAAAAAAAAAAAAAGCTATTTTAGTGACCTTTTGTCCCACCCTAAGAGGAAGAGATCTGACAGGTAGATATATGGAGAGTTTGTTATTGTAAATTCCAGATCTTGTGATTATCTCTGACTCAACTTCTGGGGTTTTATCTGGAATTCCTGTGAAGGGTCAACAAGTGTATTACTGCCTGTCTTCACCTTCTTGTGACCCTAATTTTAAGACGGCACCTTATAGGATTCAGAAAGTAGATTATAGTGCTGCATTTCCGCAGACTAATTTTAGAATGGGATGTGTCCAAAAATATATCATTAGCTCAAGCAACCAGAAATATACAACTTTTGATGTATTTATGTCTATCTACTTTAGTTTACATTTAATCGTGGAACTTAAAGGAAAAAACCTAGTAACTTTTTGACTTAATAATTCTCCAGAGTCAAATGTTCCATTGCACTATTTCTTTTTGGGTAAAACCTGTTTTTGTAGTATTGCTGTAGTTAAATAATCTCAAGTATGAATAAGTAGATGTAGATGTGTCTATAGTTATATAAATACACCTTAATAGATAAAAGCATAGCAGAGATTCATATTAAAATTTTGGGAAAATAAACAAATATGTATTCAGCAACACATTCTTACAATATAACTCATCCATGTATGTTAGAAAAATAAAAAGAGCAATTTCTGAATAAATTTTAAGTATAAATTTAATAAGATCAATGGCCCCTAACCTCTAATTATTGCTCCATAATCCTTAAACACTGGTTAAGAATAACAGGAGTATTATTGTCATAGGATGGTGGAAATTGGTTTGATAAAAAGAACACTTGTTAAATGGATAACAAATGTACAAGAAAAGAAATTTAAGAAGAATATTTAGAAAATATTCTGGAAGGAGGGACTACAGTGTAATGCTTACAGAAGGATGTGATTTCGATGTTCTATAACATGTTTCAGACAACTTACTAAATGTGTGGTCTTGCATTATTTAACCTCTGTCACCCCATTTTTTTCCATCAGTAAAAAGAGTATAAAATTGTGCCTATCTCATAGGTCTGATGTGAGAATTGAAAGTTAAATGCTTGACATAATAGCTGGCATAGCAGAGATTGTTGTGGTTGTTGTTGTTGTTGTGTTCTGAAAATATCCATTGTATATTTAACAAACACAATAATTGAATGATAACAAATGTAAAAATTAGATGATAGGAAAATATAATAATTGGATGATAAAACTTTCCAAATAATATAGATTATTGAAAATGTTACTATAGCCTAAAATATTGAGACCCAATTAATGTCAAATGCAGTGTGGCATAAAATTAAATTCTTATTATGAGAAAAGGAAAAAAAATTTCAATAAAGAACCCAGCCATGAATTTGGTTCATTGTCTGAAGCAGAATAATACATGGAAATTCATAAGCTGTGGGTGCAACCGTCTTTTGTGTCATACTTTATTCCTTTGACATTGTTGAAGACTTATGACAAACCGAAAGTGGAGAACATTTGAAAATTAAAAGCACACACACACACAAAAATGCCTCTAAGAGTAATGATTATGTGAGATAAAGAAATCTAACATATTTATATTTTTGCCAACAATTTCACCAACAATTTTCACTGTTCCTCTTAATTTCAGAAAAATTTCTGCCATGTTAAATATATTTTTGCAAACAAATAGAATCCTCATAGTCATTTAAAGACATAGAAGACTGAGACATAAAAATCTATGAGACAATTTCCAGTCATTATCACATCTGATGGAAGCTTTTCCTTTATATCAAGTGTTGATGGCAACTTTTGTCAAGCTTCAACTAAATATCCCATCATAATTCTAATTGTGCCTTCACACATACCTTTCCATTCATTTTGGTAAAAATGCTTGTTAATGCCCTTGTAGTTTAAAAAAGATCAATGTAATCAGTAGCTTTATGATTAAAAAGACTCATAAAGAGCTGACGTTTACATACATTTGACAGAGCAAGTTTGTCACTTGGTCAGTTCTGCTTGGTCTGAAATTATTATTTTTTTTTTACCTATTTTTGTGATCTCTCTTACATTGTTGCCTAAAACTATTTATTATCTTAACATTGATATTTTATATGTTTAATTCACCTTTCAAATATTTATCACCAGACCTTTTGCAGGTATCTTGATGAAGTAACCTAATTATCTACTTATCAGACAAAATCATGAGTAATCAGAAATATTTACATGAGATCTTTGATTCATTATGTACTGATATTAAATATACTGCCCTATCAACATAAAAGAGAATCTTGATTATCACTTAATTAAGGCATTTTTCTATGTCAACTAGGCCTCAACTAAGCTTAATATCTTCATTTTCTTTGTCTGTTCCTGTTTCATTGATTATTTCTTTTTTTCTTTTTTTTTTTTTTGATACGAAGTCTCGCTCTGTCGCCCAGGCGGGAGTGCAGTGGCGCAATCTCGGCTCACTGCAAGCTCCGCCTCCCGGGTTCACGCCATTCTCCTGCCTCAGCCTCCCGAGTAGCTGGGACTACAGGCGCCCACCACCACGCCCGGCTAATTTTTTTTTTGTATTTTTAGTAGAGACAGGGTTTCACCGTGTTAGCCAGGATGGTCTCGATCTCCTGACCTCGTGATCCGCCCGCCTCGGCCTCCCAAAGTGCTGGGATTACAAGCGTGAGCCACCGCGCCCGGCCTGATTATTTCTTTTAATGCACCTTAATGTTTAACAAGAACATTGTTAAAGGCCAGACATGGTGGCTCATGCTTGTAATCCCAGCACTTTGGGAAGCTGAGGCAGGAGGATCACTTGATCGCAGGAGTTCAAAACCAGCCTGGGCTACATAGTGAAACCTCATCTCTACTAAAACACTTTAAAATGAGCTGGGTGTGGTGGTCCCAACTACTCAGGAGGCTAAACTGGGAAGACCGCTTGAGCCCTGGAGGGTCAAGGCTGCAGTGAGCCATGACTGTGCTACTGCACTCCAGCCAGGGGGACAGAGAAAGGCTTTATCTCAAAAAAAAAAAAAAAAAAAAGAACATTGTACATAGATCTCAAAACATTGTATAGATTACAATTTATATATTTCTTTTTTATGTTAACCAAATTTTGTTATTACCTATTCATAAAGAAGAATATATGCAACATGCATGAAGAGTTTATAAAATAATAATAAAATGAATATCAGTGTTCTCACCACTCAACTTATGTAACTGGAACCTTATGAATATCTCTGAAACTTCCCATTTGTCATCCTTGCTTGGAAGTCCTATCTTCCTACCAGACATACCAATAAATTTTATATTATTCATTCTTTTCTTTATGAGTTTTGCTGTTCATAACTGTTCATAACTTTTTCACACCTTTTTCTCTGGCTTGTTGGGTTATTTGTCTATTTAATTTTGATTCACAGAAATATACTATATGTGACATGTTATATATGATACTAATAATACATATGACTAATATTTTATGATATAAATTGATTCTATTTTAATTATATTATAGTTATATTATCTTATATAATGTATTATATATAGCATAATTATATAATATGTAATATATAATTATATATAAACTATATGACACTAATCCTGTTTTTTGTCTTCTCACTTTTTTAATAAATAGAAGTTAATTTTAATGTAGGTTTTTGATATTAAATAATCACCTACTCCAATTTCATGAAGATTTTTTTAATTTTTAATTTTTATAGGTACATAGTAGGTGTATATATATATGGGGTACATGAAATATTTTGACACGGACATGCAATACATGATAATCACATCAGGGTAAATGGGGTATCCATCACCTCAAGCATTTATCCTTTCTTCGTGCTACAAACAATCCAGTTCTACTCTTTTAGTTATTTTTAAATATACAATAAATTATTGCCGACTCTAGTCACCCTGCTGTGATATCAAATACTAAGTCTTATCCATTTTTATCTAGCTATATTTTTGAAGCTATTAACCATTCCCACTTCACCTATGCACTCCACTACCCTTCCCAGCTTATGGTAACCACCTTTCTACTCTCTATCTCCATGAGCTCAATTGTTTTAATTTTTAGCTCCCACAAATAAGTGAGAATTTGTGAAGTTTGTCTTTCTGTGCCTGGCTTATGCCACTTAATGTCCTCCACTTCAGTGTTATTGTAAATGACAGGATTTCATTCTCCTTTATGGCTGAAGAGTATTCCATTCTGTATATGTGCCACACTTTCTTTATCTATTCGTCTGCTAATGGACACTTAGGTTACTTCCAAATCTTGACTATTGTGAACAGTGCTACAATTATCACAAGAGTGCAGATATCTCTTCAATATACTAATTTCCTTTCTTTGGGGTATAAACCTAGCAGTGGGATTGCTGGGTCACATTGTAGCTGTATTTTTAGTTTCTTGAGAAACCTCTAAACTGCTCTCCATAGTGGTTGTACTAATTTATATTCCCACCAACAGTGTATGAGGGTTCCCTTTTCTCTACATCCTCACCAGCATTTGCCATTGCTTGACTTTTGGATAAAGCCATTTTAACTGGGGTGAGATGATATCTCATTGCAGTTTTGATTTGCATTTATCTGATGATCAATGATGTTGAGTACTTATTCATATACCCATTTACCATTTGGATGCCTTCTTTTGAGAAATGTCTATTCAGATTTTTTTTACCATTTTTCAATTAGATTAGATTTTTTCCCTATAGAGTTGTTTGATCCCTTTATATATTCTGATTATTAATCCTTTGTCAGATGGATGGTTTGCAAATATTTTCTCCTATTCTGTGGCTTGTCTCTTCATTTTGTTGACTGTTTCTTTTGCTGTGCAGAAGCTTTTTAATGTGATCCCTTTTGTCCTTTTTTGCTTTGATTGCCTGTGCTTGTGGAGTGTTACTCAATAAATCTTTGCCCAATGTCCTGGAAATGTTTCCAATGTCCTGGAAAGTTTCCTTGAATGTTTTCTTGTGGTAGTTTTATAGTTTGAAGTCTTAGAGTTAAGTCTTTAATCCATTTTGATTTGATTTTTGTATATGGCAAGAGATAGGGGTCTAGTTTCATTCTTCTACATATGGATATCCAGTTTTCCAAGTACCATTTATTAAAAAGACTGTCCTTTCTCCAATGTATGTTCTTGGCTCATTTGTCAAAAATGAATTTACTATATGACATGATTTGGCTGTGTCCTCACCCAAATCTCATCTTGAATTGTAGTTCCCAAAATCCCCATGTGTCATGGGAGGGACCCTATGGGAGGTAATTGAATCATGGGGACAGTTACCCCCATGCTGCTATTCTCTTGAGAGTGAGTGAGTTCTCATGAGATCTGATGGTTTTATAAGGGGCTTTGCTCGGCACTTCTCCTTGCTGCCACCATGTGAAGAAGAATGTGTTTCCTCTTCTGCCATGGTTGTAAGCTTCCTGAGGCCTCCTCAGCTATGCTGAACTGTGAGTCAATTAAACTTGTTTCCTTTATAAATTGCTTAGTGTTGAATATGTCTTCATTAGCAGTGTGAGAACAAACTAATACACTATAGATGTATGGATTTGTTTCCGAGTTCTCTATTCAGCTCCATTGGTCCATGTGTTTGTTTTTATACCAGTACCATGCCCTTTTGGATACTATAGCTCTGTAGGATAATTTAAGTCAGGAAATGTGATTCCTCCAGTTTTGCTTTTCCTTTCTTTCTTTTTTTTTTTTTCTGGCTCAGCATAGCTTTGGCTCTTCTGGGTCTTTTGTGGTTCCATATACATTTTAGAATTGTTTTTTTCTATTTCTGTGAAGAATGTCCTTGATATATTTATTGGGATTACATTTGAATCTATTAATTGCTTTGGATAGTATGAACATTTTAATGATATTGATTCTTCCAGTCCATGAACATGGAATATCTTTCCATTTTTTTGCATCCTCTTTAATTTCTTTCATCAATGTTTTATGGTTTTCATTGTAAAGATCTTTCACTTCTTGGTTAATTCCCAGGTATTTTAAATTTTATGTGTAGCTATTGTAAATGGGATTACTTTCTTGATTTCTTTTTCAGATTGTTTGCTGATGGCATATAGAAATGCTACTAATTTTTATACATTGATTTTATATCCTAAAACTCTTCTGAATTTATTCATTTTAATAGTTTTTTGGTGGAGTCTTTAGGTTTTTTCAAATATAAGATCAGAGATCAGATCATCTGCAAACAAAGATAATTTTACTTCTTCCTTTTCAATTTGGATGATCTTTGTTTCTTTCTCTTGTCTGATGAGCCAGAACTTCCTGCATAAAGATATTTTCTAATAATCTGTGCTAAAATTTTGAAGTGCTGGTTTTCAAAGCTAAGTTTTCATGCACCTAGAATTGATTTTTGTGGATAATGAGATGTGGATTTAATGATCTTTTACTTACTAAGCCATCATTTTGCCATTATCAACTTTAATCTGTATCAGATCTCAATATCCACACAGATCTGTTTCTGGGATCTCTATTCTAATTCACCAGTATGCACCATCCCTGCATACTACCAAGCTATCTTATTATAGATTTATGTTAAATATTAATATGTAGTAGAGCTTAGGTTTTAAAAAGCCTGATACATTGCTCAGATTTGGGAGGCAAAATGCTATCTTTTTTATTTCTGGTGAAGTTTTTACTTTACCTTCTATTTTATTCTCTTTCAATATAGCTATAGACATATTTCATTTAGAATGTGACTTGTAGCTTTCTTTTTAACCTTTTACTTTGCATCTTTCTTTGTCTTTATATTTTAAAATGTACCTGAATTTCTTTTCATTTTCATTTGAAAAATATGTATATTTTGCTGAAGAATTTAGTCTATTTACAGTTATTGTGATGTCATTATAATATATTTGAAATTATTTTTATCAAATTTTTTCTATTTTTATTACAATTCTCCCTGCGAGTTTTTGAGCTATATTTCATATTTATTCATTTAGTGGTTACTCACCATATTTAATTTATATTTATTAAAAGGTTTAAGGTTAACAATATTATTAACTGGAAAAATAATAGCATATAAGTTGGGAGGGAACTGTTTAGAATACCACAAGTTTATGTCCTTGTATTCTATGAAGAGAAGGTAATATCTAGCAAACTCTACACAAGAAATACTTTATATTTATTTTTTTAATTTTGTGGAATCACATAGGTAAGATGACGTGGGGCCTCAAACTGGCAGGAGAAAAGCCTTGTTGTTAGGAATCCTTACAGGAAACTTTTTCCATCCACTCAAAAGTGAATTATCTAAACAACCCTCCTCTGCAGAGGATTATTGATATTGTTTATTTTTCATTGTCTACTTTTTGTTGTTTTTGCTATGGTTCATCCACTAAACATTTCACCTTTGCAAGAATATCAGGCATGAGCTTCCAATTTTTGTAAAACCAACATTTTGTCTCCTCCTTGAGCAGTACATCTAGCCTGTCATACCTAAGCTCTTCTCAAATTACCTGAGATGAAGGATAAGGGTTTAGTTGTTATTAATTTCCAAACCTTTGTACACCAATACTTTGGTAAAATACATTAAAAATAGTAAACCTATGTCAAAGTATATGTTTATAAACATGTAATCTCTTTCAAAGGTACTATTCCAAACCAAAAGATATTCTGTACAAATGAAATTTTTTAGACTTTTGTGTCTCATATTGCCAAAAATGGAAGGTTTGCATTTTTTTCTACTCTGGAAAATGTATTTTAGATAACTGTGCTAGGTTCTAAAGTTAACCTTAGAAATTACTTATTTCCTGAAAATATTGTACTGCTGATACCTGAATTTATTTTCATAACACCTTTATGTTATTTCCTAGTAAAGTAAATAGTAACTCTAAATTATACTCTTTACAAAGATTAAAATGTTTTTTAACCAATGTACATGATAGTCAGAGGTAAAACTTTTATTTTTAAGGGCAATACTTTTCAATGTTATAACTATGTGAAAATATTGTATATTCACATGCAAACACAGAAATACAGGTTTATAAATTCAATTTGTCGAAAAATTATGTTAACTACTTAGTGAGTTAATTGTCCCTAAATTTGCTTCAATTTAATGTAAAGTCTTCTCTTATGTGCCATTTACTGTAAAATTTGTTTTTCATATATAATTAAATGGAAGGGGAAAAATATAACATAGAACACAAGATTCATGATAAAAGAAAACCAGGCACAATGAACCCTGCATTCTAATTTATATGCACTCAGTAAGTGTTATATACAAAGTGTGATGCCAGTTAGATTATATCTTAGACTTTACTATATTTGGCATGTCGTTATAAAACACAAATCCAGACAAGAAATAATTTCCTACTGGCAATGTGCTTCACTGAAGAAATTAGAGAGCGATAATGTCATGCCTGCTGACAGAAGTGCAAAAATTCAATAGAAAAATTAACCTGTGAGACATGTTATCTGACAGTTAATACTGAACCTGTACTATGAAAGGTTAAAGATTTTTAAGGTTATTGCTGATAATGGAAGAAAACAAAACAGAGTTCATGAGTGATAATTTTCAAATATATGATGTGAAAATAGATCTCTGATTTGAAAGAATAATTTGCTAACCCATTTCCATCCTGTAAAGAATATTCAAACTTCTCAATCATTTTTCAATATGTTTTGTTTCTTTTCTCTATTGATGTTCTGGCTATTTTGAAATTGTATAATCATTATTTCACAGAGCAATGAAAATGAGCAATGTTGAAGGCCTCCTGTGATAGAATTCACATTGACAATGTAGGAGCAGCTGGAGCAAATTTTTTCTGCCAAACGTAATATTTAACCCAATGTTTTGGAAATCACTTGTAAGATTGACTAAAAAAAATTTACCCGCTAATGATGCATTTCCTCACCACCCTCTTCATGAGTGTTGTCAATTACAAATTTATTATTAGGTTGGAGAAATGAATACATTCCTACCAAAACATTTATATGTGGTCATTTTTGTTACATTCCCAAGATCATCATGATAAAACTTTAATGCATTTTAATAAGTAAAGGAGAATGAAAATTCATTACCTCCTACAAACTATATTTTATTTAATTACTAAACGAACATAGTTTTAAATACACAATTTGAAATTGCTAATATCTGTTGAAACAGAATTTATAGGTGAGCAACTGTACCCTAAACCACTTATATTTTTGTTCAATAGCAGATGAGAAACAGCATTGAAACATTTCTATGACTATTGATACCTTGTAGTAATCTTGAAATAAGTAATGAAGATATCTCAGCTCCTTTCCCAGAAACGCTTTTTTTTTTTTAGACAAAGTCTCGCTCTTTCACCCAGGCTGGAGGGCAGTGGCATGATCTTGGCTCACTGCAACCTCCCAGGTTCAAGCGATTCTCCTGCCTCCTGAGTAGCTGGGATTACAGGCACGTGCCACCACGACCAGCTAATTTTGTTATTTTTAGTAGAGACAGGGTTTTACCATTTTGGTGAGGCTGGTCTCGAACTCCTGACCTCGTGATCTGCGTGCCTCGGCCTCCCAAAGTGCTGGAATTACAGACGTGAGCCACCGCGCCTGGCCTCCTCAAACACTTTTATAATGATACGCTATTCCGTTAAAAAATGTTTGTGTATTCATTCACATAAACTTCTAATAATATATTTGGTAAAATGTGCTTAGTTTACATATCAAATATTCTTCTATAAAATTTCATTCATCATCAAATATACAACTTCTACATTTTCTCTCTACATATGTTATGAAGGTAGTATTCCTTAATAGTACATTCTGTTATGAACTACATAAGAACTATACTGGTTAAAATTTGTTAATGTTTCAAAGGCTATTCCTGAAAGTAATAACTAAAAATGTTATATTCAAAAATTATTACAGTTAGAAACTTTACTACTCAATTATATTATGCTAAAATTTTTGTGTGTATACTAATCCAGTATAGAATATATATAAAGTATTAAATATCAATCAAAAGTCATTTGTATTAATTATACGCAAACAATAAATTATGCAAAATGTCGTCTGTTTAGATTGAGCTGCACCTAAATTTTAAACAAGAAGCTTTCAGAAAGTTGTTAAAGGCATTTATTAAAAAGAGAGAAATTATTAAAGTTGACTTTAATAGAATGTTTTTATTTTATTTTATTTTATTTATTTATTTATTTATTTGAGACAGAGTCTCACTCATGCCAGGCTGGAATGCAGTGGCATGATCTCGGCTCACTGCAACCTCTGACTCCCTGGTTCAAGCGATTCTCCTGCCTCAGCCTCTGGAGTAGCTGGGATTACAGGCAGGCACACACCACCACGCCCAGCTAATTTTTGTATTTTTAGTAGAGACAAGGTTTTACCATGTTGGCCAGGCTGGTCTCGAACTTCTGACCTCAGGTGATACACCTGCCCCAGTCATAAGCTATAAGTTATCATAAGTTAATGTTTTCAGCTTTTTCTGCATCTTAGAATGCACACAGTGGTTCTCACCTGTAATCCCAGCACTTTGGGAGCCAGGCCTAAGAATATGTATTTATATAAAGCAATTATTTATTGAACACTTTCAATGTGTTCAGTAGCTTAAATTCTATATTCGTTTTAACACACTTTACCTTACCTTCTCTAATTCCCCAGTGACAATTATATCTTCTCACTGGAATAATACCCTAAGTGCCATCCCCCCAAAAGATAAGTAGAGAATATGGTAAAATAGTATCTTTCCCAAGTATGAAGTACATCATGTAGGTAACATTGCATGAATTTCTCTCTGTATAATGCATTTTTGCATTCATAATTGCAGTTCAAGTTCCAAAGGAAAATTTCTCTTTTTAAAAAGAGAAATAATGATAAATACCTGTTGAGTAGGAAAAAAGTAACTGCATAAAATTTCTTAGTTGTGTCTTCATAGATATTTTGGCTTTGCAGAAAGTTAGCAAAATCTTTCATGCTGCTGAAGTCTCTCGTTATTTTCTCGCTATCTTGGTGTCACAACATATTATGGAATCCAAGTGGTAATATCAGAAAAACTAAACTAAGTTTATTTGGGCATACTGGATTCAGGCATACACTAGCAACGTAGCAGCCTGATGTTTGAAAGAGGACAATTCATGTGTGCATATCTCATGCCTGTCTGCTTTCCACATACTTCACAACATGATGATCGCTCCCAGCTATGTTGATATACGTCTATCCGCTTGGCTGGCTGTAGATAGGAGACAAATGATCTACCTCTTAACAGGTGATCTTCTTTGTAGGTGTCTCATTTAATCAGAGCAGGATATTGGCAAACATAAACAGGTGTGCTACTGTTTCTAGTCCCACTATTACCTGCACTGCTTTCACTTGCCTTATATAAAAGATCATTGAAAATACCACCGTAAAGTGGCCCAGGGAATGAGTCAACAAGTTAGGGTCAACAGCTTGAAGGGTCAGCAAGTTACCTGTGGCAATGAAGAACAGGAAAACCCCTCTGGGAAGTATACTGCATGTCTTCATGGATAATCCAACTATAATGTTGCTTTAATTTCCTTCAGGAAAGGGAATATTTTTCATTACATACTAGATTAAATTATATGAAATTGCCAATATGGAAATATTTTTGCTCCCTATTAATGCTGATTTTTTAAATGGTTCAACCTAGTATATCTTAGGATCTAGTATAAAATTTAGAAAGCAACTGACATCTCCATTTTTCTTTCAGATTTATTTTTTATTAAAAAATATAGATTTCGGCCAGGTGCGGTGGCTCACACCTGTAATCCCCGCACCTTGGGAGGCCGAGGCGGGCGGATCACCTGAGGTCAGGAGTTGGAGACCAGACTGGCCAACATGGCGAAACCCCATCTCTACTAAAAATACAAAAATCAGCCCAGCGTGGTGGCAGTCGCCTATAATCCCAGCTACTTGGGAGGCTGAGGCGGGAGAATCGCTGAACCTGGGAGGCAGAGGTTGCAGTGAGCTGAGATCAAGCCACTGCACTCCATCCTGGGCAACAGAGTGAGACTCCGTCTCGAAAATATATGTGTATTTCTCTCTCCACCTGAATTTCCAGAAACATTTTAAAAATGATCGATGTTGCCAGGCATGGTGGCTCACGCCTGTAATCCTAGCACTTTGGGAGGCCAAGGTGGGCGGATTGCCTGAGCTCAGGAGTTCGAGACCAGCCTGGGCAGCACAGTGAAACCCCGTCTCCACTACAATATAAAAAATTAGCTGGGCATGGTGGCTGGCGCCTGTAGTCCCAGCTCTCGAGAGGCTGAGGCAGAATTGCTTGAACCCTGGAGGCAGAGGTTGCAGTGAGCCGAGATCATGCCACTGCACTCCAGCCTTGGTGACAGAGCGAGACTCCGTCTCAAAAATATAGATATAGATATAGATATATATGATCAATGTTTCAGAACTCTTATAGCATTTTCTATTAATTCCAGTGGTTTTTCCAAAGCGTAACATATGTCTTACATGGTAGGTAAGGTGACTTTGTTATTACACTGATGAACATGAGAGCTATTAGAAAATATTTTACTAGCATTTCAAACTAGTATGCATTTTTCTTTAACATTCCTTAAAAGAGTTAAATTTCCCAAAGTTTTTTAAAAGTGGCTCATTGAAAAAATAATTAAGTAGATAAAAGTATCACATTCTGAGCCCTCATACAGATGTTCAGAGTATGAAAGCATTGGGCTACATAACTGCAACTTACCATGCATTACCATGTACTATACTGCATACGTTCCCAAGTTACTTCAGGGAAGACAAGAGAACTTATGTTTAGTTGGCCCATATGAAATTGTCATTTTTGTTAATGAAAAACAGACAAATATTGGTAATATCATATGGTTTGGTCTTAATGTATCTCTGTGACCACACAGCATATAATGTATAAAAGGGATTAGTGAAAATTAAATTTTGATTGAGTGAAAAGATTCAACACAAAATTTCTAGGTCTCTGTCACCCAGGCTGGAGTGCAGTGGTGTGATCTTGGCTCACCACAACCTCCGCCTCCTGGGTTCAAGCGATTCTCCCGCCTCAGCCTCCCGAGTAGCTGGGACTACAGGAACGTGCCACTTTGCCCAGCTAATTTTTGTATTTTTAGTAAAGACGGGATTTCAGTATGTTGGCCAGGCTGGTCTCGAACTCCTCACCTCATGATCCACCCTCCTTGGCCTCCCAAAGTGCTGGGATTACAGGCGTGAGCCACCACACCCAGCCCACAATTTCAAGTTTTTCATAAGCAGGCCTCAATGTGCAGGCTATCAACAAGTTTAAGAGCTATATCAACAAGTTTAAGAAAACTTGCCTATAAACAAATGCCAACTGAAACATAAAGATACAAGTCAACATGCTTAACTCATGAGTAAATATTAGAGAAACATGAATTTTTTACACAACACTCTTCCCTGGATAGTATACAAAAATAAATGATTATCACTCCTAGGAACTTACACCTTCGTTGACTGCGGTTCAAATTGGATCATGATCAAAGATGAATTAGCTTAAGATATGGAGTCTAGTGAATTAAGAAAAAATGCCAAGGTAAGAATCTTTTTAAAAAAGAATGAAAAAGAAAAACTCAGAAAACCTGTGTATCTTTTCCTCTAGAAAAACATGTAGTTAGAAACAAACTATTGAAATCCAACAATTTAAGAGGACTGAATCAAGCATTTTTTTGTTTTTTTAAAATGCCTCACTTTAGACAACTAAGCAAAAATAATGTAATGTCACAAAGTTTAACAAATTGACTTTTAAAAATAGCTTACTAAAACTTCATCAGAGCCTAAATATCCCAGCTTTTTTTCAGCAGATCTTTTATTCATTCTTTTTTAAAATATAGAAAGACTGTGTATTAGCAATATCTTCAATAAGCAGTAAGAAATCCACAACTTTTTGGGCATCGTTTGCCATGCTGTGACTAGGAGTGAGGATGAGGAGCAGGAGGATAATATTTATGGGTGACCAAAGTAAGAAACATACATTGCTTTAACACACTTTCACCATCATCTGATTTGTCCTTTTGTTCGCCCCACTCAATCCATACCCTATTAGCATACAAGTTCTAGCTATGATACCAAGGACACAGGAAGGAACTTAGGGAAAAGGCACGTTTATTTAGAAACTTATGTAGCCCAACAATATAAAAAGCACACTCTCTCCACATAAATAGATGTAAATATTCTTGTAAATTCTATATAACAAATGACTGTATACTTTAGAAAAACAGTACAAGTTTCAGTTTAACTGCAAGGAAGGATATCTGCTTTTTTATGCCTTTGAAGATATTATATTTCAAACCCAATGTCTGAATTTACTAGCCAGTATTCGTGCAACAAAGTTCAGAAGGTTTTAAATAATTTGGGTTGCCAGATAAAAAGTAGAATCGCCAGTTAAATTTTAATTTCTAATAAAAAAATAAATAACCTGGATGGACGTGGTGGCTCACGCCTGTAATCCTAGCACTTTGGGAGGCCGAGATAGGCAGACTGCCTGAACTCAAGAGTTTGAGACGAGCCTGGGCAATATGGTGAAACCCTGTCTCTACTAAAATACAAAAAAAAAAAGTCAGCCAGGCCGGGTGGCGGGCACCTGCAATCCCAGCTACTCAGGAGGCTGAGGCAAGAGAATTGCTTGAATCCAGGAGGCAGAGGTTGCAGTGAGCTGAGATCATACCACTGCACTCCAGCCTGGGCAACAAAGCGAAATTCTATCTCAAAATAAATAAATAACTTTAAAGTATAAATATACACAAAATATTGCATGGGAACACTGAACGGCAAAACATTCATAGTTTATCTGAAATTTACATTTAACTGGGCATCCTATGTTTTTATTTCCTAAATATAGTAACCGTAAAAACAATTCATGTGAAAAAAGAAAACTAGTCTTTTCATTAAACAATTCAAAGAACAAAGAGCATTCCTGGGTTGGTAGAGATGGTCAAAGAGTGGAAACTTTTAATTGTTCCCAAAGCTAAAAAAGACCTCCAAAGCTTCCAACATCTCCACTAAGTCCACCACGTCTAGAAGTTCTTCGGTATCTCGTCTCTTCTAGTGTGCTTTCTTTGGTAGTGACTATAGATTTCACTGGTTCTTTCTCAGAAGTAAAAAAAAAAAAAACATTATGAGTTTGCTTTCCAATATTTAGATATAAAATTATGTATAGATTTTTATATTAAATGAAGGCAATGAAGACCAATATTTAAAAATACTACAGCTAAACAAACTAATTAATTATAAGGTTAGAAGATAATATAATTTTGTTAATTACTCACAGCTTGGTGCCCATTTTTTTCACTGCAGCCAACAACTGCATGCTTTTAATCTCTGTAATAATAATGGCATACATCATTAACCTTATTTTATTCTTTTTTAATTTTTTACAATGCCAACAACAAAGATCATTAACCTATGTTCTGTTTAACATCTAATCAGCCATTTTAGTTAAATAAATATCATAGAAAACATTAAACATCACTTTGCTATGCTACAGTGGCCCTCAGGAGGGGAATTCTTCCTAATGCATTATATTAACATTAGTTTACTCCACAAGTGTCAAATCATGAGTGGCAACAAGGAAATAGATAAAGAATAATTGATGGTATTAATCAAATTAGTTCAAAAGTGTCTTTTTCCAACTAGTTCTAAATCTTACTGGTATTATTGCATTTTGTTTGTGATGTTATTTTCTGAAGCTCTTAAAAGAACACAGATAGTCTGCTACTGAGATATCATCAGATAATTGTACATGAGAATGACAAGCTGGTGAAATCCAGTATGTTTATGAAGGGAATTTCTGGGAATAACTGCTCTCTGAAGCATGGGAACCCTGTGTGGGATTGCTGATGTTGGTAACAGTTACTTTGAATCAAGATTCTCATTAAAGGCATGTGTCTGCTGGCTATAGCATGTCTATAAGTTTAGCAGCTGAACCACCATTTCATGCCATCAATGATGTCAAAAGAACTACAATAGTAAACAAGACTCATATCTAAAATATTTAGTAAAGCCCTGTCCTAGATTCCAAATAAATTGTTATTTCTCTGCACATGAGTTCTCATTACCACCCTGCCTCTAATGGGAATAAGCATATAGCTCAGGCAGTCCCATGCTACACAATCTACCTCCCCTATGAGGCTTGGTTAAGGAGACTGATGAAAGGAAGATGGATCAGAACCACAGATAAGGAGAAGGGGGTTGTGATAACATTATTAAAAATGTATACGTATTATTGACAGAGATACCAATTAGCAAAGAGGGCAGGGCAAACTCATGCTTACATCCTGATAAATAGTAGTATTTATAAAGTACTTCTATGCTTCTCCCAAATTTCTGGTCCCAAGATTACAAATTGGTACATTTTATTGAAAAGCAAGCAAAGACTTTATGTCATACTAATTTGACAGCCAGAAGAAAAAAAAAATACTGTCCTCTCCCAAGATACATTCTTGCACCTTATCTAACTTTCTAATATGAGCGCATCTCAGAAACTGATGTAGATAGTTTTTCTAATCAAACACATTACATTATATATTTCGCAAACGAACATCGATTCCAACTATGATGCACTTGTCCAACGTATCTCTTAGTCAGGGAGAGGACAATAGCTAAGGAAGAAAAGAAAGAGGCTTCTATAGGGCAGGAAATGAAAGGTGGCCTATTCCCAGCTTCCTATGACATCCTGCTTGCATCACGGTCTGTACATATAACTATACATAGTAATACGGCTCTACCAACCCTCCATCTATTGACTCAGCATTAGTTAACACACTCTTTTCAAATACTGTCTTTGAGTTTTGGGTGCCACAGACACAATATAAAAAACACAGATGTCAGAAAACAGAGATTCAGAAATGATTTGACCAGGAACAGCCTAAGAGGAAAAGCTAAAAGAGCTGGGGTTAGTTCTTACCAAAAAGAGTAAGCTAAAAGAAAACACAGCTATTATTTATGCTCTTTTGTCTGAGCACATTTAGGCTCTTCTATTGCTTCCCAAAGAAAAAGACACATGGCTTCATAATTAGAGTCTGGCTTCTTGTCTTTGACTTATGATTCTTGACAAATTCTCAGAGCCCATTCCACAGCCAGCATCCGATGTTTCATTCCTTTTTTCCCCAGATGTACCAGACAGGTGGCCTGAGGCAATAGGATGCACACTGTGTAGGATGGTAAGTGGGACACAGGATTAGGAAACACCAGGCTGTAGCAGACACTGCCACCGTTTTTCTATCACTTTTTTGTATTCCATTTATTGCTGCCTTAATGTCAGTAACTGAATGGCTATTATTCTTCCTGAACCTGACCTCTCTACTGAAAATTATATTCTGTATGATATTACTTCCATTCCTACTGCCCTATATTTAGTTAGAAGTTCCTCTACTTTATGGGCATTCTTTAAAAACTGGTGGTAGGATGCTTCCAACATTCTTTGATAAGGTACTCAATAAATGCAGGTCTTATCTTAACTAGCCATGGACCCAGATACCTACAAAATTGAGTGATGATGGCAAAAGAACTTCGAATTTTCTATACAATGATGTCAGAAAAAAAGGGACAAAGCCAAAAAAGGTCTTTCTGTATTTTCATATATCTTATTTTGGCTAAAAATCCTGGTTTCCTTGCTCCCAGTGCAAAATACTGTTGATTTAAGACACTAAATGAGGTATACTGTCTTATAAGATTTGTTGACACTTCACACTGTCTTTAGAATAATTTATAACTAGCACACAGTTCAAGGAAAGAAATAATGATTAAAATTTAGATTCCTATAAATTAAAAAGTGACTGCTTTCTAATGTACGAGTACATTAGAAATATGAGAACACAGTAACGATTTGTTTGTATTTTATAATATGAAGCACCGATGGTGAGCAATATCTTTCTGTAACTCCTGGGTATGATAGGATGGGCTTTGGTTTAAAAAGAAATACATTGTAGGTAAAAAGTGTCAACACATGGATGTATATTTATATCGCTATTATATATCACAATAAGCATTTTGAATAGACAAACATATAGCTTCTAATTCAAAGAAAAGCATTATTGCTATACTGGTACCATTTTAGTGAGTTCTATTAACACTATTTAGCAATAATAAAAATAAACAATTTTAAGATTTGTATTATCAACCCTGTCCCTAATATCTGGTAAGTATTTTGATTTCAAAAAAATTAAAAGCAGTTATCTCAAGTGAAACGTTATCTACTATAGCTAGACTTAAAAGGTGAGAACTGATAAACTTTATCGTAAACTTCTAGAACATCTTGAATCTTCCACCATTAGTCAGGACTCAATCCACAAACCAAGCTTTTTCAGAAAGCCCTTCCAATATGGCAAAACTATTTTTCTTAAAGTATAACCTAAATTCTTCCTTAAACAAAGTAAAGTTCTCCTTAATAAGGATTTCTTTAAAGAATACAAATGGTTTTGCTCTGCTATCCTTAATATTAGGAAAAACTGTATAAAATTTTATTTTTAAAGGTCAAAAGAGTAGTCAGATATTACTAATTTTATGTAGTTCAACCTAATGTTATTCTAGACAGGTTTAATGTTCCTTATAAAAGTCATTTGTGAGACAAATATGTTGAAGTCAAAATCTCCTGGATTCTTTCATCAAGCTTAAAACAGAAAATACTCCTTCAATAACAAATGAAAGACAAAGATTTGGTGTTAGGCTATTTTCTAAATGTGGAAGTTATATATTCCATGCTATAAAATGTTCTGAGACTATATTTGATGTCTAAGCATTTTACTAAACATATTCCTCTGGAAGCAGTTATAAAGAATCTTTAAAAATTTTTGCGAAACTATAAAAACAATAAGACTATCCTAATTTTTTTGTTTTTGGGAAACATTTATTTTGGAATATTTAGTTATTTGGGAAAATATTTATGTTAACTAAAATCAGTTTGTTAGTATTATTTTAAAATGAATTAATTAATAAATATTTTTAATTTCACAGTTTTAATATTTAGTGCAGTAAATATCAATAGATATAACCCACATAAGTTAAAGCTCTGTGGGGTTTTCAATAATTTTCAAGAGCATAAAATGTCTCTGGGACCAAAAAGTTAGAGAATCATTGGATTAATTAAAGAGATAAATCAGAAAAAGAGAAGGGAGGTAACACACATAAGACATTTTGTAAATCATACTATTTATTTCATCCTAAAGGAAACTAGCCTGGACCTCATCTCATTACTCACTTGGGGCGGGATGAGTACAGAGATTTCCACAGACATATTCCTAAGCCTGCTTCCATGTACTTTTTTACTGCTCACAAGTGCGACAGAAGAATTTCTGGGTGGGAACAACTCTACACATTAATATAGAGCAGCAACAGGTATTGTCTTACATGACTCATTGATTTTAGATATAATTTCAAGGGTCATCAGACTCTTTTTTTTATCATAACAATCTTGAGAGATTAAGAAAAACAGAGGTGTTTTGTTCTCAGTTTACAGATAGGAAAACAAAGACAGACGGTTTCAGGGTTTCACCCTAAGGCACACGGATTGTGTTGGGGCAGGTTGTGGAATTTAAGGCACCTGCTTTCATGCACAATACTTTATCCACTAGGTCAATGTCTTTAAAACTGCTTTTCAGCACTGGGAATTTTTCTCTCATGAAATCTTGCTCAGAAGACCCTCATAATGCACAAGAAAGAGAGCTGCTCCAGCTGGAGAGGGGCCAGCAATTGAGATCCACTCCCACCACTCCAGCCACCCCGCCAGCTTGGGACACCAGTCTGCCCAAGACCCTCACTTGTTTATTTGCCTCTTTATGTTCAGCTCCTGCTTCTACTACCCTGCCTTCCTATGCACCCACTTAAACATGTTTACTATATTTCCTTAAATATGCACCTAGCCTTGTAAAATACATAGTACAGTTTTTTGTGCTTATATGTTTACATGACACAAAAGCTATTATGCTATAAATTGCGTTCCACTTTTTACTTTTGTCCTATTAACACTGTTCTTAAAAATCTACCCAAATTTTTATTTCTACATCCAGCTGGTTGCTTTTTGTGCACATATTGCTTTATAACATATATTAATAGACCATATCTTACTTTTCCATTTCTCTGTTGATGAACCCAATTCCCCATCAACAAAGACGGAAGAATTGTTTTGACATATCACTCTGCAGTGAAAGGGAAGAATTTCTCCAGGATACTCACTGATTGTTGGGCAGAGGTAGACATAATCTTAACAAATGGTACCAAACTTCCCTATGAAAATTCCTCACTACTCACTAAAACTTGCCACTTTACTTTTCTGATATTCCATTTGTCCTTATGGAATGCATGTTGTTGGGTGTTAAGTCCATCTCATTATTTGTTGTTGTTGTTGTTGTTTTTGAGACAGAGTCTCACTGTCTCCCAGGCTGGAGTACAGTGGCGCGATCTCGGCTCACTGCAAACTCCGCCTCCCGGGTTCATGCCATTTTCCTGCCTCAGCCTCCCGAGTAGCTGGGACTACAGCCGCCCACCACCACGCCAGGCTAATTTTTTGTATTTTTAGTAGAGATGGGGTTTCACCATGTTGGCCAGGATGGTCTCGATCTCCTGACCTCGTGATCCGCCCGCCTTGGCCTCCCAAAGTGCTGGGATTACAGGCGTGAGCCACCGCACCCGGCCAAGTCCATCTCATTATTGTCCTAATTAACATTTCTCTGATAACTATTGCTATTAATCATTTCTTCAAACATCTATTCGATTTCGAGTTTTTCTGTGAAATTGTGTATAACTTTTGTACACTTTCCTTCCGTATTTTATGCTTTTTTCTTGGGAATTTTCAGTTTTCTTTTCTATTCTAGATACGAATTCCTTGTAAGTTTTAGACGTTTCAAATATCTCTTCTCAGTATGTGACTATGGTGCTTTTTTTCATCCAGTAGGAATCCTTTATTTTGATATTGTCATATTTTTCTCTCTGTTTTAACCTATGGCTTCTTATTTTTGAATCTTGCATGAGAAGTTGTTTTTGTTAATCTCTAGATCACTAAGATAGTCTCCTACATTTTATTCTTTGTGTTATGGTTGTACCATTCACATTTAGGTCTTTAATTCATTTGGTATCTACCGGCACACATGGCATAAGATATGAATCCAGCTTTAAACTTCTGCACACACCTGGACAGCCTAGAACAAGGTTTTAGAGCCTAAGCAAGGGGGAGATTCTCAAGGAAGGCAGCCTGGCATGGAGCGTGAGAGTATACCCTGACAAAGGGCAGCTTGTTTGTGGCTATTTCATTATTGCTATAGATTTCATATCCAACACAAATATTATTTAAGGGTGTTTAAGTTATATTTTTCTTCGTAGAGGGTATGCTTTGTGACGAAATTAGATTTTTGTCCTTGAAAGGATGAATATCAGTAACAGTTACGTACAGCTCTATTAACATCAGCTGTCTCTCTCTTTGTGATGCCAATTGAATTTCTTTCTATGTTTGATTAGTGAATTGTGTCCATTTTCTGTTAAATCTTTCCTCATCTTTTTAATTATTATTTATTTATTTTTCTTCTTTTCCCTTTTCTCTTGATTAGTATGAATTTTCTTCTAACCTTAAAATCATGCATTCACTTTTTATTCTTCTGGTCATTACTCATTCACATTATGTTTATCTTTCTCTAATAATTTCTTAACTGTATCTGTATCCTTACCTCTCCTCAGTAAAGCAGGACGTGTACTTCAGCTCTTCCTTTAGCCCCACCCAGGTCATCATGTCTGAATTTTTAATTTTGTATTGTCCAGTTCTTATTTTTGCTTGTTTTATTTTTCATGCCTTTTTAAAAAATACAACTAACACTTAGTAAGTTACACCCTCACTTTCCATTTACTTTATTACTACCTTCTCTATGTATTTCTCTTATTTTTGGAGTACAACCTCTAATACATTCAGCTCTTTAAAGATTGTCTTAGTGTGATATATTTTCTGATGCTTTGTATTATTTATGACACCCCCACATTTAAATGAGAGCTTAACGAGATTTTTTTAAATCTAGTCTTAAAATCATTTAACTTCAATACTTTGGAGAAAAAAAAAGGGATCCTTGCTTTTATGCCTTCTTTTCTGCTTTTTTCTATTACTTGCCACCAAAGTTCTATCTGACCCATAGACATACAGGAGAAAACAAAGGATAGGGAAGATTGAGATTAAAAGAGAAATTACATTTAGTGAAAGGAACACAGACTTCAGAGTTACAGAGATATGAATTTGAACATGACAGAGCATACCCAGAAGAGAGGAAAAAAAAACCACAAACTAGGGCAGTGACCTGTGTTTGTTAACTCAGGAAAAAATAAATCCCCCAGTATTTCAATATGTTATGTATTCATGAGTTGTAACCAAGAACCCACTTAAATTTCAGGAGCTGAAGGCCAGATTCAGGTATTTCACATGACTTATTATACCTATGTATTTTTTGGCAAAAAGAAGTTGGAAAAATATATACATACATATATAAGATTCTTCTATGGGTTCATTATTTTGTCAACCAATATAAATGTTAGTGTTTGATCGTATGGTACATAAATATGGATATCAGATTCACACTGAAGATTGCACCATTGTCATTATAAGATGCTTTGCATTTGATTCCATGTTGTCTGATGTTACTAAACCACCTTCTGGTTTTTGTTTGCATTTGCTTGTTATATCTTTGCTTATCCTTTTCCTTTCGACCTTTCTCAATCACATGGTTACAGATGTGTCTCACATATCCATACGTCAAGAAACAGGTTGGAATCTGTGAATACAATCATGAGCCCATTGACACACCGCCCACCCTCATGGCACCTGTGTTCTTTCAGGGCAACAGACAAAAAAGCAGGCACTATGTTTGTTTTACTTGCTACTTCATAGAACTAAGCACAGGCCCTGACATATACGAGGATAAGCATAAATATATATTGAGTAAATAAGCTTATTTTGTAAAAGCAATTACTTAATCAAAATGCTATTGAAGTCTTTAGAGTAAAATTGCGCAGAGCTAGAGGAACATTTGAAAGAGAGACCTGACCTAGGGATGGGAAAGCTCCCCTAAGAAGTGACTTTTCAGCTCAAAGAGGCAGGACAATGAAGAATGGGAAAAGTATTCCAGAAAAGGAAACATAATTTTCTTCCAATTTTCATTTAGCTGTATTTTCTAGTTTTGTACAGAAAGTAACATTTATAAAGTAAGTAAATATCTTGAACAGAGCAAGCACTAAAGAGAGCAATTTCTGGCCACTATCAGGGCTTATGATAAACAGGATAAGGCAAGGGAATCAGGGAAAGACTCCCCCAGAATTGCCAGTTGATGATTTGTTTATCTAAATATTAAATTGATAAATAAAACTTTATCAGTAAAGATATCTTTTCATCATCTCTAAAATAAGATTTCTGTCTTCAGAGTTGCTATGAAAATTAAAGAATAGTTAAAATAAGCCATCTTAAATCCAGTTTCAAACAAGGCAATACATAATCATGTAAAAATAAGTGAGGCTCCTAGTGCAATGCCTACTACCTACAGTCATGCATCACTTAATGACAGGGATACCTTCTAGGGAATGTGTTATTAAGCGATTTCATCACTGTGCAAACCTCATGAGTGTATTTACACAATCCTAGATGGTGTAGCCTACTACACACCTAGGCTATCTGGTATAACCTATTGCTCCTAGGCTACAAATGTTTATAGTATGTTACTGTACTGAATACTGTAGGTGACTGTAATACAATGGTAAGTATCTAAACATACTTAAACACAGAAAAGGGACAATAAAAATACAGTGTTATAATCTTCTGGAACCATCATAGTGTGTACAGTTCATTATTGACTGAAATGTAATTTTGTGGTTCATGACTGTATTAGGCATTCAATAAATGATTGTTATTGTTGTTATTATAAGTAGACAAGTAAAATATAGTTTTTTCTTCTGTAAAATATATGTAATACTACTTATTTTATAGAATTATTTTGAAGATTAAATTAAACTTAGAAATGTATGTACAGTATATATTACTGTGTTTAGAATTTAGGAGGTATTGGCCAGGCACGGTAGCTCGTGCCTGTAATCCCAGCACTTTGGGAGGCAGAGACAGGTGGATCATCTGAGGTCAGGCATTTGAGACCAGCCAGGCCAACATAGTGAAACCCCATCTCCACTAAAAAAAAAAATACAAAAAATTAACTGGCTGTGGTGGCATGTGCCTGTAATCCCAGCTACTCGGGAGACTGAAGCAGGAGAATCACTTGAACCTGGGAGGTGGAGGTTGCAGTGAGCCGAGATTATGCCACTGCACTCCAGCCTGGGCAACAAGAGTGAAACTCCATCTCAAGAAAAAAAAAAAAAAAAAATTTAAGAGGTATCAAAATTACCAAGTTTAGATAAAGATACATGAATAGATAGGTAGATACCTAGACAGTCAAAGATATTGGTAGCATAACAAAATTTAATGTGATGAAGAAAATAATTCATAAGCATTTGGAAAAGGAAGATGTGTATGGCAAAGTTTCTAGAAGAAAGGAGGAGCTATGAAATGAGAAGAAATTGAATAAACAAGTAAAGATGACTTGACTTTCCAGGGGAGGTTGCCATTCTGATGGAGCCACAGAGCTTCTTACCACTCAAAAATAAAAAAAAAAAAGAGAGAGATACTGTAATTCTATATTGAAGCCAGAGAATTAGCAGAAATAAAGAAAAATTTAATGACCTATAATTTTATCCTTCTCGAGAAGGAACTCAAATTCATGAATAGAGCCAACTGGCCGATTTATGTAGCAACTGAAAACCCTGATTATATCTAGATTTAATCAAGAGGTAATCAATTTGATCAAGATTTAATAAATATAATTAAATAATATATTTAATCAATATAATCAAGATTTAATCAAGATATAATCAATCAGGTTTGGCTGTGTCCCCACCCAAGTCTCATCTTGAATTGTACTTCTCATAATCCCCACATGTCATGGAGGGACCCAGTGAGAGATAATTGAATCATGGGGGCAGTTTCCCCTTTGCCATTCTAGTGATAGTAAGTTCTCACGGATCTGTTGGTTTTATAAGGGGCTTCTTCCTTTGCTTGGTTCTCATTCTTTTTGCTGTCACCATGTGAAGAAGGACATGCTTGCTTCCTCTTCTACCATGATTTTAAGTTTCCTGAGGCCTCCCCAGTCATGCTGGACTGTGAATCAATTAAACCTCTTTCCTTTATAAATTACCCAGTCTCGGGCATGTCTTTATTAGCAGCGTGAGAATAGACTAATACATGTCTCCAGCCACAATTCATAAAAAAAGCTCTAAGTGTCATTTTTCCAGTTTACACTGGAAAAATAAAGCAAAATCTCCATACCTTCTAAGGTTAGCCATTATTATCAAGACAAATAAAGAGTGTTTACAGCTCAAAAATGATGCCTTTAAAAGTTTACAGTTAAAGGTAATGTATGGAGTCATCAAAGAAGAGAAAAATGAAATAATTAAGCTCCTGGCCTGAATTTCTTCTTAGTATTTTTATGAGGGTAAAGAGATTAGAAAAAAACCAGGGAAGAATAACCTACAACTGAAAGCCCTTGTTAGATTTACTGGTGGGATAGGGAAAGGGTGATCCTAGAAAAAAGGAAAAAAAAAACAACAACAGCATGTCTCAATAGAAGAGGTAGTGATCACCTCAGCTAAATGTTTCTGTAATCATTTCTTATTAAAAAGGTAAATCAGTGACTCCAGATGTGGCTTGAATGATTGCCATGTTAAGTTAATGCAAAAGATCAGAGCAGTGCTACATTCGCGCAGGCAGTTTCTCTCCGGGCAGTAGTTTGCACTGATGATCACCTTTCACAGCATTTTCCCCAACCAGCACTTCACTTAGTCTTCTCTACACCCAGCACCTCCCCCTGGCACCCCCTGCAAGGCCACTATCACTTCCGACTTCCAACGTGGCATCCGTGAGATCTGTCCACATTAGGCAAAGCAGGAGAGCACCGAGAGTAGCAGGCTAGGTTTGGAAAGAGCGTGCCTCTGGAAACACAGCTTCCTGGGAATTGACATTAGGCCAGTCCTACAGATACCAAGATGCAGCCCAGGATTTCTTCACTTTCTAATAGATGTGGGAGTGCTCCATTTTCCCCAACAGCGAATTTCCCCTGAGAAACGATGCTAGACCCTGGGTTTGCCCACCTTGTAACTCTTCATTATCTCCTCCTTTTCATCCCTAATTCTTCCTCCCCGTGGCGTGGAATTGATGCCCGTGCAGTACAATTGCCAAGTGGCACCTTCTTTCAATTTATGTTTTATTTTGCTATGGTGGTGATTCTTTATTTGCTGGTTGCCTTTTCTCACACATCTTTCTCTCTCTCTCTCTTTCCTTCTGCTTTTTGTTTTTCTGCCCAGAAAAACCTGACTTCGATACCAAAAAAGATGAAACCACAGAAACTCAAATTTAAAAAAAAACTTTAAAAAAAACAAAAAAAAACTCAACAATTCTTTCAGCTTTATTAACATTTTCCATTGTTTCTTGTGACTTGTGTCTCGTTCTCTGTAGTATTGATGATGAACATTTGGTAATGAACGTTCTTGTATATTCAGATAAAGAAAAAAAAAACAAAAAAGCAGTCTGAATTTAATAGTGTTTATAATAAACATTTTAAAAAATGACCCTCATAGCACGCAAAACAGGATGGGGAATTTCACCTCTTCTTTCTGTGACAAAGTGCATCATTCCTGCATTAGTTTTTAACACCAAACTACCTACATTCATCATTTCCCTCATTTGTCTTTTATTTTCTTGCATTTGTGAATTAGTTCAAGAATGCTAGAAAAGTGTCGAGTTGTGCACATCCATTTCTTGTTTCACAATGTTTAAAAGTGACAGTAATTCATTTTGTAAACTAAAAAAAAAAAGGTTGGAATAGAGAGCATAATAGGTACAACCTAACACATTATTATGTTTATTAACTTTGAGACCCAGAAATAAATTCTTTCCTTTTCTTTATTCTTGCTCTTAAAAATACAAAAAAAAAAAAAGTTTTGTTTTGTGTTATTTTTGGTTTGTTTATTGGGGGGGCTTTTTTTAATTGTCAGGATTATGATCTTGCTGTATTTCTTCAATACGTATACAAGGTGATGTGAAAAGATGACATGGGCAGAATAGTAAGAACAAGTAGGCTTGTTCTACTTTGCTTCAGAATTCTGTTAATGCCAAAAGCAAAGATCAAGCCCATGTTGATGTCTCGTTGCTCACCTGCATTTCCAGAGAGTGTGGCACTCATGCAGTCCCTGAGAAAAATAAAATCAGGGACATGCTTCTCCTTTTAGCCTTTTAAAAATTCAAAACATTTAGTCCAAGGGAACTTTTTATGCTATCAGGAAAGGTTTTTTGCCATTTTTGATTGATTGTCAAACAGCTAAGTACTTTGTTTTCTTTCTCCCTAATTAATAACTACATTCCATGAGGCCTCTTCCAACTAGAGAGGCCTTTTCTTCCAGAAGAGTCCCGCAGAATATGCTGGTATGATGGGCACCACTGGCTAAGTAAACTAGATGCAGGAAGCAGTCCTTGGGGCCAGTCTGCCAGCTGAGTCCTGGTTTTGGATGAAGAGTTGATGAGATATTGGGCCAGGCTCAATGCTGTAGTTTTAATGCTAAGAGGTTAAGTTTACTTCACAGAGTACACCTCTTAGTAACCTCTTACTTAGGCAGTTGCTTAAAGCAAATTGCAAAACTGGCTTGATTTGGAATGTTTTTATTAGAGGAAAAAAGAAAGCCATATTATCTGGAAAAAACTTCATTTTAAATATCCATTATTCAACAAATTATGTTCAGAAAGTGGTCAGAACTTAAGCAAGAAAAGTGAAGAAAGAATGCAGAATTGTGGAGCAACAATTCAGGAAATATTTCTACCCGAACACTTGTACTCTTGAAGTCATAACAAAATAACGATGAGCTTTTCACATCACCTTTATGGTTTCAATCCCTAGCTCAAAACTTTCTGGAATCTTTTATTTTTTGTAAACTTTTTTTCTTCTGTTAAAATAAATAAAACATTCAATGTTTAAAAAAATAAAAAATGAAAATAAAAAGGTAAATCAGATGGGCTTACTGAAGTAAGCAATACATTTTCCCAAATGCACAAATATCATGGAATTATGAATAAAAATCTGAGTAGGAGTGTCTATTTTTGTTACAATATCTCTATGGGAGAACCCGAGACAGAAAGTGAAACTGGTTGTACCCCATAAGCCTCTTAAAACATGGACTTAGGGTTTGCTACATACATCCAGTGTGGAAATAAAATGCTTCTCGGATTTTACTGATTCCATCAATCTAGGATCATAAGTATGTAATCAGGTATGTTTCAGGATATTACATTTTAAAATAGCATTCTTATTTTATTTGTGTAATCTCTTGTTGTCTTCCAAATCGGTTATTTGGGCACTTGACTTGGGCAATAAATAATCTCATGTTTTCTTCTTGAGTTCTGTAAACAGCATAAAAAAGGAGGCAATTTGGTATCATCATCTAAATGATGATGCATTTCAAAAGTAAAGAGTTTTGTTCAATGCTCTCCAGATTATCTGACACAATCCCTCCCTGGATGCAGCATGTATTTTTAAAGCAAAAAAAAAAAAAAAAAAAATATATATATATATATATATATAAAATTCAAAATAAGTTATATTAGACTGCTAAAACAATCATCAAGATCATTCAGGGATAAATCCCACTTTCACACAAGCCTCAGCGTAATGCTCAGATGCAAGAACTTACTGAACCTGAATCGAGCACCACATCATCCCGATTCTCCATTTTACCCCAAGCACCAAAAACTTGGTAGGAAATGGATGATAAAAATGAAAGTATATGTTTATATTGCCATCTGATCTTGTGATGTGAAAGAGAGCTTCATGAACTTGATTACAGGTCTGGATTAAAAGAAAAATTGGTCACAAATCCCCAGCATTTACTTATGTTGCCTTTCATGATAATATTACTTACACTTGCCTTGTATAAAAAATTACATGTATTTAACAAGCATTTTCAGAAGTGCCTCTTACTCCATGCTGGAGACTGTGATCCAAGCATTATAATAATAATACTAAGTAAAAATTTTGTTTCTAGGTTTTACAAATATGTTACTTAGGAATTGCATACAGTTACTCATAACCGGTATACATACACAGGTGAGCAGCCCCAGGCTGGTATGGTGGCTTTTGAAGCCACCAAGGACCCAGACTTCTTTGATCTTTTTCCCTTCATGATCTTTAATCCTCAAGGTCACAATCTGGCTGCTGGAGCTCTAGCAAGAAGGGGATTTTGGCAGAAAGAACACCCTTCCCCACCCCACATTCAGGGAACTTTCTTCTCCACCTCCCACAACTAAAAAGAACACTGGAGAGAACTTAGAAACAGGGCCACACCTAATCACAAGGAAACCCGAGGATTTTTCATTAAAAAGGGGAAGATGAATAAGAGTTTCTGCCATAACTAGTGTAAAAATAATTAACAATACAATGTGATGAGTATGTTATGCTGGATTTTCAGGATAAGTTGTATTAGTGGTTGGCTGAGTACAGGAATCCTAGGCAAAATAATTAACGTATGCCTAAAGTATCAAGGAGCCAATTACATTTAGGGAATGGGAGGAATATTCATGTGGATGAAGGGTAGCATGCTCAGGGGTCTGGTAGATGAGGTTAAGGTTAGGTATCTTTTTATAGCATATATAGAGGTTAAAGCTCAGACTCTGGATTCAAACTGACTGGATGACCTTGAGAAAGTTAGTTAACTACCTTGTGTCTCATATGTAAAATGGGGACAACAATTGCGCCTACTCCATTGGGTTGTTATGAGTATTAACTGAGATAAATTCAGAAGCACCTAGAAAACTTACTAAAATATAATTGTCCAATAAACAGTATCTATTGCTGGTTGTCTATGAATGGCCTGCATGTGTTTGCATAAGGGACACAACAACGTCATTAACGAGGGATTGGGGGCCCACCAGGGAGCCTGGCATAATCAGGTTTATTTCCTGGGAAGAATTCTCTCTGGTGTGGTAAGATTTAAGCTGTTGTCAAGGAGATTAATTAGGAGGACGTTTCAACTGAGATGATGAGGTTCTGAACTAAATCAAGAAAATTGGCTACATTTTAGACTCTTGAAAATATTGTCAAATTTCTTGCTGGAATTCTAACAATTTCGACTACCACTGAGAGTACGAGTGATACCTCACAAAAACCTAACACACATGTTCATCTTTTTAAAATACTGCAAATTTGTTAAGTGAAAATGATGTTTTATTATTTCTTTAACTTGTAATTCTTTTTTAAGGTTGATTTTTTTTAGTTTATTAGTTTGTATTTCCTACTCATGTTTATATGTTTATATCCTTCTCCAGTTGTATTTTAGAAACAATGCTTTCCCTACTGTTTCTATGAACTGTTCATATATAAGTGATCTTGGCCATTTGCATGCCCTATTAGTTTCCATGATTAAAGGCTGCATGGAAAAAGGGTCAAAGGAGGACCTCCCTGATTTAATTATAGATTACCAAAAAAAGAGGCAGACAAGGGGAGACAATACTGAGGGAATGTTCTTGCGGAAAAAGCCGTGTAAACCTTCCAGCCAAAAGTCAATGACATCTTTAGTAAATGCTACAGAGTTTCTGAATACTTTGAGGAGTATATTTCCTATGAAGAGAATATGAATACCCACTGAGTCCTGCTTTGAAGTCAGAATCAGTGGGAAGTAAAAACAGAATTTGCTCAAAGGGTAAACCAACCACGAGTTACTCTTGTTAAGATTATTCTCATGTATTTTATATAATCGATGTCATTATAAATTGAAAGATTTTTTTTTCCATTATGATTTCTAAGTGGTTGTTTCTGGCATATAAGAAAGCAATTTCATATCATTTGAAGGAGTTCTTAGAAATCCTGACCTTTTCAGTTGATTGTCTTGAGTATCGATGATTTTAGTGATTATAATCCTTGATTATGCTAAATTAATAAGAGCGAGGTATTGTTTAACTGTATAAGAATCAAGGACAGAATAGCATTTTATCAGGAAATTAATAAAGTAGTATATCATACATTAAATATGTTTTTCTTCTTGAAATATTAATATGTCAACATCTTCATAACATTTTACTCACAATTTTTATTAAATTCATTAAGTATACAAAATATGTACAGATTGAAAAATCTTGTGCGATGAGGCTAAGAAAGGAGATCAAAAACATAACTAAAACTTAAAGATAATAAATTGAACCTTAATCAATATGCCCTGCCCCGTTCTCGTCCAATTGAATCTCACCTCCAGAAATAAATGGAAATGAAAATGGAAAACAGCAAAATTTAACAGAAATATGATTTAGCCAAAAAGAATAAGAATATGACATGCTATTACTTTTTAAAGTTAAACCATTTGAAAGAACTGTCTACATTTGTTGTTTAAAAGGAGGTTTCTCATTATATATGGTTGTGTGAAAAAAAACAAGAACCAAAAAAAGGTAACTAAACAGCATGTGTAATTCTAACCGTGTGTTTGTATGTTAACAGGAATTAACCTTTAGAAAAGAGAGTCAGACGTAATGGCCTTTTTTTCTTTTAGTTTAAACTTTTGACAATAAATATCTATACTTTTGACATCAGAAAAATATTGTTAAAAGAAAACCTAAACACAATGCCTCTTTCTAGTTTCTTTAATAATTCCATATTTCAGAAAGTTTTTAGTAGATTTAAGATGAAGATAAGTTAAAATACCTACATGAGAATTTCTGATCAGAGAAGCACCACACATTTTGATAAAACATGAACATTATTATTATTTCACAAATATTAAAAAGTAAACCAAAAATTTTGAGAAAACAGATTTCTCATCAGAGCATCTTCATGTTCTTTATTGTCTTGACTCATACAAAATGTTCACCAGAGTTGTGTTTTTGAATTTTCTGGACAACTTATTGATAATTCAAGATGGGGCCAAGAAAAATGAAGTCAAATATAGAGAATAACAGAAATTGTGTTTGTGTTCAAAAATTCTGGACAGAGATTGTTTGGGTAAAAGACATGGTTCATCTCTTGCTTCATTTTAAATTTCTTTCTTTTCTGAAATCAGATTTCTTCCTGGGATTTTCAAATATCTTATCTCCATGTTTTTGTCTTTATGTCCAGCCTGAAGATTTATTTCAATTTCTCCATTTTCCTAGCAGGAAAATGCTACATGTACTTCAGTAAGTATAAAACTTTACTGATTGATATTCAGCTGTAGAAAAACGTCTGCTGTTATATCCAGAGTTTTGTGAACCTGAGGTTCAACTTTGGAAACATCCTTATTCTAGTCTCTCTTTTTCTTCTAAATATAGAGCTTCAAGTAATATGGATAATTGAACTAAACACAGAATAATTAAGTAAAAAAGGAAACCTCACTCACTGCATAACTATTTTGTTTCTCTGACTTCTTCCTTTGAATATATCCTGGATTCAGACACAGAAAGTCAACGATTTCTAGCATTCATTTTAGAATGTTGGTTTGTCCTTGCTGGGAATATCTGTATACCCAACACTTCTGGTGGGAAGTTCGTTTTATATTCTGTCACTGCGTTTAACAGAAAGTGACTAAGCATTCAAGTCAAGATTTCTGAAAAATAAGACCATAGCATAACTGAAAAATGAACATTTGCTTCACAGGTAATAGTGCACTTGAACCACCCATATTAGCTACAGTGTAAGTTAATATGGCACTTTTAATAAAAGTGAACTTTAAAGTACCGTAAAACAATGACACATTTTATTTTGGGTGACTGCAATGGTCAAAACTTCTTGGCTCTACAGGACATTTTAAATATTTTCTTTTCTTTCTCTCCACAAACATTCAATTCTCTGGAAAAGTTTGTCTGAATTGCTGGAGAATATGTTTTTGGTCCCTTCACTTCCTATGAGCACTGCATATTGAAGCCCTCTAGCTGGCATTTCAGAGTCACAAATATAATGTGACTGTATTGACAATTATTCAATCCTGAGAGAGACAAAGACCCAGTGTTCTATCTTTATTATTCAAACGTACTGCCCCTGTTTGGTGAACAGGGATTCATTTGCTCCAAATACAAAAGGTCCCTGAACTCAGTTAGAACGCAAAAACAAATTATAATCACCTCAAGTCAATGGAATTCTGAGTTATCATAAGCTAATGTTTTGAGCTTTTTCTGCATCTTAGAACGCACACATCCTTGTTTAAGATTCAAACCTCTGGACACAATTATGGTTGACCAGTAGGCTTTTTAGCTGACAAATGACTGGCTGACTTGGAAACCAGTTCTTAAAGCCTCCAGAGAACAACATGCTGATACTCCTGAGCTCTCAGCTCTTAGATTTTTCACATCGTTTTTACAAAAGAAACACCCCAGGTGTACCAAAGCTTTGTGTAATGAAATCTTTCAGAGCAGCCAGAAAAATATAACTCTTCCCCACCTGGATTCAGTTGTGGGTTAGAGCACATTTAATTTCAAGTCAATAGGTTCCCTGCACATCAGCACTTAAGGGATTAAAGACAAGTCTAGTTTTGTTGCCCTAAATGTACTGTTATTGTTATCAATTCGTGCAGCCTTGCAATAAGTTTTCAATAAATCTAAGATTAACTATTATTTTCTTGCCTATAAATAAAATATAATCATCTTAAAAATCAATGAAGGGAAAACCATCATATCCATTAACCTGGCTCAGAATCCCTCCAGGCTCTTGCTATGAAACACGGTGCTGTGGATCTTTCATTTTATTGAGCTATATCTCTTTGTATGGCAACCAGCAGGCAAAAGAAAAAAAATATCTAATCTAAAAACCAAAGACTAGGGGTTTTTTTGTTGTTGTTGTTCTAAAACCACTGAGGTAAGGGCTGAATATTCTTTTCTGCCTGGGGTTAATTTTTTTCCCTCTTTAATTTGCAATCATGCAATAAAAAAAAAAAAGGAGGGACATTGCCTCAAGTAGCTAGTGGCTTTATTACCATCTCTCCTGCCAGTCTCCACTTTTTATCACTTCCAAATCCTTTGTTTTTAAAGTCACCTGCACAACCCTGCAATGTTAGAAACACCTTCAGTTGTCTTCACCAACTGTCATTTCGTACCATCTGCTGTTAGAATCTCAAAAGCAGTAACGCATGGGGGTCAAGGCCACTTTCTCTCAGGAAACTAAAAAACAACAGAGCCACGTCATTTAGTCTGGTTTTTTTTTCCCCCTGTCAGCTTTACTACACCCTGGAGTGGACATTTTCCTTGCCTTTCAGTTGCAAATGTTCCTCAAAAGACATGAACTTCACAATAAGGTAACCACACAAAAACAAGGTTTTATAGACAACCCATTATCTACTAGCAGAAGGGGGTGATTAGTCATCTGCTTCACTTGAAATAGATCCAAAGAATTCAAGCCAGCACTGCAAAGAGAAAAATGCGTTTATGTCAGGATTCCAGAAAGGGAGCCATCCTGCCTTAATGTCAGGGGCATCAGCACAGCCTTTCAAAAGGCTGTAAGGAATCTCAGAAGTCAAGCAGCAAGGAGTTGACCCAAGATTCAGTATTATTTTTTTCACTCCCATACCACTCCAACCTGGATGATCCACTCTTCTGATCTTTCTTCGGACTAGAGACAAAAAGGGACCACCTTTTGTTTCTGCTTTTGTCAGCTACTAAAAATGGTCAGTTCGGCCAGGCGCAGTGGCTCACGCCTGTAATCCTAGCACTTTGGGAGGCTGAGGCCCGCAGATCACCTGAGGTCAGGAGCTCGAGACCAGCCTGGCTAACATGGTGAAACCCTGTCTCTATTAAAAGTACAAAATTAGCTGGGCGTGGTGGCGGAAACTTGTAATCTCAGCTACTCGGGAAGCTGAGGCAGGAGAATCACTTGAACCTGTGAGATGGAGGCTGCAGTGAGCTGAGATTACGCCATTGCACTCCAACCTGGGTGACAGAGCGAGACTCCATCTCAAATAAAAAAAAATAATAATAATAACAAATAAATAAATTAATTAAATTAAATAAAAATCGTCAGTTCAATTAAACTAATTCAACCCCATATACCAGATAGGCTCTCTAAAGACATAATCCTTTCTTAAAATGAAACTGTTACTTATCATCATATTCCCCTTTCTATATTTTCTACAAATCATTACAAATTCACATAAAATTCTTCAACCTGAAAGATGCCTAGTTTACTCTCAAGGCGGTTCACATACAAGTCTAAGTTTTTTGCCCCATAAATAAAATATAATCATCCTAAAAATCAATAGGAGAAAACAATCAGAACCGTTAACCTATCTCAAAATCCTTTCATCCACTTGGATTAACCACACAGTGCTGAGTCTTTCATTTTATTGAGCTGTATAATTCTTTGTATGGCAAATGGCAAGGGGAAAAAAAATCAAAGACTCAGGTGTCGTGTTCCGAAAATCAGAGTGAAGTGGGAATGAGACAATAGATTTTGACCCTTTTTGATTATAGAAATAAACAGATTAAGCAAACCCCAGAAACAATGGTTTTAAGCAACTGGAAAGAGGTTAGCTTGGTTTAGCTTCTCCCTTTGAAAATGCTTCCTCATGAGCAATTTATAAACCTTTATAAAATTTATAAATTTTATAAAAATTTTGAACATTGTCAGAAATTTTTCTTTAAGATTTAAGGGGAAAAAAAAGAAGAGGTAGAGGAAAAAAGATTGATTTTAAAAGTGGAAGTGTGAGTCAAATGCACTAAAAAGACAAGGCTGATTTAGGATAGGCCCTGCATGGTTGTGCACACCTGTAGTCCCAGCTATTCTGGAGGCTGAGGCAGGAGAATCGCTTGTGCCCAGGAGTTTGAAACCAGCCTAGGCAACATAGCAAGACCCTGTCTCAAAAAAAGAAAAGAAAAAAAAAAAGAAAGACTGATTTAGTCTTAAGTCTCAAGCTGTAATATATGAACCGAAATGAAGATACTCACATGAAGCTGGTTGCTATTTACCACTGCTCAATGGTCACTTCTTAATTCTCTTCTTTTCCACAGAAATTTGTTTTGTACAGTTCAATAATAAGAAAATTTACAAACTATAACTGGACTTTTAAAATATAATTTCAACTCTTATTTTAGATTCGGGGGTACATGTGCAAGTTCATTACCTGGGTATTTTGCGGGATGCTAAGGTTTCGGGTATAATGATCCCAGTACCTAAGTCCTGAGCATAGTACCCCTAGTTGGCTTTTTAACCCTTGCTCTCCTTGCTCCCTACCCACTCTAGTAATCCCCAGAGTCTATTGCTGCCATCGTTATGCCCGTGAGTACCCATTGGTTAACTCCCACTTATAAGTGAGAACGTGCAGTATTTGATTTTCTGTTCCTGCATTAATTCGCTTAGGATAATGGTCTCCAATTGCATCCACGTTGCTGCAAAGGACATGATTTCATTCTTTTTCATTGCTGCATAGTGTTCCATGCACCAAATTTTCTTTACCCATTCACCATTGATGGGCACCTAGGTTGATTCCATGTCTTTGCTATCGTGAATAACACTGCAATGAATGTAAGAGAACATGTGTCTTTTTGGCAGAATGATTATGACTGGACTTTGAACATCTAACTTCATTAATGTAAATAAAGTCTTATAATACATTATATCTCAGATACATTCTTTAAAAAAATAGCCTTCCTCTTCTTCCTTATACTCCCATGCCCCTTTTTTAAAAAATGGAATACCTCTTCACTCCATACAAGGATAAAGTAAATAATTTTCCAGTGGTTTATCTAATGAGCCCTGAGCATGTTAAAAATATAAATAAGGACATCATTATAAGAGCCATACAGGCTGGGCGTGGTGGCTCACGCCTGTAATCCCAGCACTTTGGGAGGCCGAGGCGGGCGGATCACAGGGTCAGGAGATCGAGACCATCCTGGCTAACACGGTGAAACCCCGTCTCTACTAAAAATACAAAAAAATTAGCCGGGTGCGGTGGCGGGCGCCTGTAGTCCCAGCTACTCGGGAGGCTGAGGCAGGAGAATGGCGTGAACCTGGGAGGCGGAGCTTGCAGTGAGCCGAGATTGTGCCACTGCAGTCCGGCCTGGGCTAAAGAGCGGGACTCCGTCTCAAAAAAAAAAAAAAAAAAAAAAAGACCCATACAAAAGCAGTCCACTCTGCATGGGATGAGAAAAGGAGCAGCTTGGTAATTAGTCACTATAAAATTGAAAGAGAGTTTTTGGTAGGATTTTGACAAAAAAAAAAATCTCACATTTTTAATATCTGGGTAACACTAAGTTTAAATGGTCATTTTGCTATATATCTCTAACACCCAGTTTAATAACTAAACATTTGGAGAAAGAGAACTATATATGGCTTCCTCAGTAAGAAGATATTAAAGAAATAACAGAATCTAAAGTAATAACAGAATCTAAAATCCAAATGCTATTTTCCGTAACTAAATACAAAAAAATAACATGTTTTGATCACTTCTAATTTTAAAGTTTTAAATTACATCCTATGCCAAACAATTAAAAGTACTAAGCAAAAGAGAAGGAGAGATATTCTTTACTAGCACTTAGCATATGGCCAGATATTTAGCCCATTTGCATTTATTGGAATGATGGATTTTTTTTCTTTTAATCTCATTTTATGTTTAATGTTTATTATAAGTTATTGTTTTTCTTCTATTCCATTTTCATAAATTTTGCTGGCTTAAGTTTCTGTTTATCTTCCCCCTTTCCCTCCCTCCCCAGGTAATCTGGAAATTAAATTGTGCTTATTTATTTCACTAGTGATTCCTAATAATGATAATTTTAAAATATACTTGATTAGTATATCAACATTAGTTAATAACTGTCATGCTTGCTTGTTCACTGCTTCCTTACCTTTTATCTCAGCCACTAAAAGAGACTATTAGAGTCTCTTATTCCCCAACTCTCCATTTCCCCCCACTGAGAAGGGGCTTTTATAATGCTTCTTCTTGCCACGGAATTTTACTTAGGTAGGCTATAAGTTTTAATTTTAAGTTATTATTATGTTATCCCTTCTGGAGTTTCTCTATTGTTGAATTAATTCTTACTTTATGTAATAAATTCCCAGTTAATTTTTAACCACCTACTAAGTCTTAATTATTGCAAGATTTGTTACCACTTTTCCTCTTTTCTTTATTTCCCATTATCATGAAATAGATAATCTGATTCCATTAACAAAAAGTTGGAAGCCTCCCTCAAAATCTTTACTTAAATAGGTGACTGAGTGGTATATTCTCCAATGCCTTGACTTTCTCTTACCCTGACAGATAAATATCTTAGATAGGTAAAGAATCTCTGTTTCGAAGTTCTTTTTTTTTCTGTTTTCTTTAAAATTTATGATCTTCTCTTTATAAAAAAAAATTAAGAATGTTTATAACAGACTGATTCTCTTTTCTTCACAATTTATTCTTAAAATTTCACAAGGATATATTTAGTTGTAAGTTTGTTTTCATTAATAGTCTTTGGAACTGAATGAATCCTTTCAATTTAAATATTAAAGTTTTTCTTCAGCTCAGGAAATTTTCCTCAATTATTTGTGGAATTATTTTGCATTAGTCGTATTTTTGCTGTAAAGATGCTGCCTAACCTACAAAATCTTACTGACTTACAAGCCTGTTCAAGCCTGTAAGTTGGCTACAGATCAGCTGGTCTTGACCTGTAGTAGGCAGCGCCTTTGGGAAGTAATTAGGTTTAGATGAGGTCATGAGGTTAGAGCCCCCATGATAAGATGGATGACTGCCCTTGTAAGAGAAGAAAGAGACACCAGAACTGCTTCTCTCCACCACGCGAGGATACAGAAAGAAGGTAACTCTCTGTAAACACGGAAGACTGCCTTCACCAAGAACCAAATCTGGTACCTTGATCTTGGACTTCTGAGCCTCCAGATCTGTGAGACATAAGTGTCTATTGTTTAAGCCACCTAGTCATGTATTTTGTCATAGCAGCCAAAGTTGACCATGACAATTCTGAAAAATCCTTTTTCTATTCTAAATGTATCTCCTTGAGAGTCATTACTTTTTTCTTTAATTTCTCTCCATCTTTTTCATTAGTTCTAATTTGGTAGTACTCTTTCTATTCTAGTTTTCAATTTGGTCTTCTCCATCATGTGACTTAGTCTTGAAATATTAGTTATGCTCTGTGTCTATACAGGGCTGTGTCTTCTTTCATTGTTACTATAGGTCAGGCTGTTTGTCTCTCTCACAGAGAATTAATCTGACTAGTTCTAGTAGGAGAGAAGTTTCTGTTTTTGTGGACTAGCAGCATAAACTGGTAAAATATCCTTCTGCTGACACTTGAAAGTGTCCCCTCTACTCTCAGGGGCATCTTCATCGTCTTTTTTTTTTTTTTTTTTTGAGATGGAGTCTCGCTCTGTCGCCCAGGCTGGAGTGCAGTGGCACAATCTTGGCTCACTGCAAGCTCTGCCTCCTGGGTTCAGGCCATTCTCCCGCCTCAGCCTCCTGAGTAGTTGGGACTACAGGCACCCGCCACCACTCCCAGCTAATTTTTTTTTTTTTTTTTTTTTTTTTTGTATTTTTAGTAGAGACGGGATTTCACCATGTTAGCCAGGATGGTCTCAACCTCCTGACCTCGTGATCCACACTCCTCGGCCTCCCAAAGTGCTGGGATTACAGGCGTGAGCCACCGCACACATCATCATCTTCTAGCTGCAAGACCTAGAAATGCTTCAGCACACCGCTGTGGTCCTCTCTCAAAGGTCCAAAGTTAGCAGATCTAGGAGCTCTTCCAGGCTGAGCACAGCAAGCCAGCAGATGTGCCCTTTGCAGAGACACCTTGAAGTCTAGGATCTTTCCCTAAATCCTGAACAAAGGCAAGCCTTCAACTTTTACACTGGTCCATAAGTTTTTTCTTAATGATACCATGAAGCCTCACCGATATGGTAGCCATTCGCTATGTGTGATCATCAAGCACCTGAAATACAGCTAGATTGGCATGAGATGTCTTATAAGCGTAAAATACACACCAAATTTTAAAGGCATAGTACAAAAGAAGTAAACTATCTTCTTCACGTTTTCATATTATGTGCTAAAATATTTTTGACATATTAAGCTAAGTAAACTTTATTTTTAAAATTATTTAAAAATTGAATAAATTACTAAAATTAATGTTCATTCTTTATTTTTACTTTTTTTTTTTTTTTGAGATGGATTCTCATTCTGTCGCCCAGGCTGGAGTGAAGTGGCATGATCTCGGCTCACTGCAACCTCTGCCTCCCGGGTTCAAGCAGTTCTCCTCCCTCAGCCTCCCTAGTAGCTGGGACTACAAGCACACACTGCCACGCCCTGCTAATTTTTTGTGTTTTAGTAGAGATGGGGTTTCACTTGTTGCCCAGGCTGGTCTTGAAGTCCTGAGCTCAGGCAATCCACCCCTTCAGCCTCCCAAAGTGCTAGGATTACAGGCATGAGCCACTGCACCTGGCCTATTTTTACCTGTTTTAATGTGGATGCAGGAAAATTAAAAATTACATATGTAGACTGCAGCACAGCTCACATTATCCTTGTATTGAACAACACTGCCACAGAGATTGAGGCCCTGTCTTGCTCAGCTTCCCCTAAGAGAATAGTCCAGTCTATCCTTCAGGTTTCACCGACATAAGGGGAAAAGGATGGAGAAGAGATTGGGAAGTGTACTTAGACCACCTTCATCCAAATGGCCTTGTCTTAAATGAGAATAAATTTTGTTTTTATTCATGAGCTTTATTCTTACAACCTTTCATGATTTTTATTTTCTCAAATTGGCATTTTGCTTTCAAAACTAGGAATAATTCCCAGGAAAATAATACAAATTGAGAAATTCAGCTTTCAAAAATATGTCTAATTTAAGGATAATTAGTAAAATATATTCAATATTCAAATACACTTGAAATGTTAATAACAAATGGCTTAAAACTTTCAGAACATCCAACTTCTGCTTACACAGACTCGTAAAGGCATTTAACATTTCTGCAACTTTTAGGGTGAAATCTGTGTCCAGTTGTGGTTGCAGGTATACTCTTAATTACTCAAGTGTTTGAGTAGTTCGCACTAGACCAGAGAATTGTCAAATTTTAGAAGACTGAATAATAGGCATCGCAGTTTTGAGGGACTGAAATCATCAATAAAGGAATGTAAAATAACTGAGGGACTTGGTTTTCATTTAGTTTCTCATCACTTCACTCTTCCAAATTTACAGTACTTCTCAAATAAGAAAATTAGAGTTTCACACGAATTATTCATTCGGCTTTGAGCAGTCAGTGTTTACAAAGCTCAATCATCTCTAAGGTTCTAGTGATTACACATCACGGAAAACCCACAACAGTACTTACTGGTTAAGCACACAAACTGCTGAAGCAGAGGAAATGTATTACCGTATTTCCCTGCCACACCCTTTTTGACTAGCACTTGCAGTCTTGGTGATATCTTCCAGCTTTAGGGGTTTCTTCCCCTCTCATTCTTCAAGGGTCCCCCTTAGCGTTACCTGTCCTGAAAGGACACCATCTCCTAAAACTTACCCTTTCTGTCTTCTTCTCTAAAGTTTAGTATGCTTTCCCCCCACAAACTCATTTATGTTGCCTAAGTTAATAGGTTGGGAAATGTCAGAATTCAATGGTGACTCTTCTGTCACTATTGTGAAAATTTAAATATCTATGACTTATGTGACATACTCTATAGGAAACACCTGTAATTTGAGGCAACTATATTATTTTGTAGCATTGTCAAGAGTTAGCCTAGACATGAACTAAAAGTTTAAAGACTTCCTATCTAAACTAATATTTTCATTAAAACATTAAAGCAGTCACTATAAACAATAGTCAACTCAAGGAAAGTTGACTTGGGGAAATTTAAAATAATAAGCACTTTAGACAAACCCATATGTCTAACACTCTGGTAAGCACACTCTCTTTTACTCACTTAGGTACATAGCAGACTGCAAAATCTGAAACTGCAGCTATGTCAGAGAGTCACCAGAGCTCTCTTTAACTCACAACTCAGTTAGATTGAAGGCTGAAGTTTTGCCTCTTAAGCTAACAAGGTCTTGATACGTGGCAGCATCTGTTTCTCTCTAGCCTTCAGTCTCCTTACTGACCATTAACCGGTTGTTCAACCTAGTGACTCCAAGTTCTTCCTATAGTTGAAAATGTGAGGAAGCTTTCAGCATTCTTCTCTTGTTGCTGGATATTCTATTTTACTGAATGCTCCAATTTGGGCTTCAAATCCTAAGTCAGCAATTTGCTAGCTATGTGGCATTGAGCAAGCTACTTACTGTCTCTGTGCTTCAGTTTCCTTATCATCATAGTGAGGATAATAAACCCTATCACAGATTGCTATGAGAACTAAAGGAGTGTGTGAATCATGAAGAACACTGCCTGGCAACCAAATAAGTATGCAGTGAGAGCTAGCTCATGGGATGTCCTGTTTCAGAGATAGCTGCTTCTCACTGTTGGAGGCATATTAGAAGCAAACACTGATGCCCGGGCCCCTACCCAAATTAATAAAATTAGAATATTTGGGTGTGGGTCCCAGGTTTATGTATGGTAAGATTCTAAGACCAGAACATCCTCAAAAATAATAATAATAATAATAATAATAATAATATGTATGTATTTATTTATTTATTGAGTGTTTACTATGAGCCAAACTGTGTCTCTGATGGCTTTCTTTACGTGTTCTCCACTGAGCCAGGCTCTAGAGAGGACAACCACACCCACAAGCCATATTTGAGATGTGAGCCTGAGAGTCCAGTCCGCCTTTGTGGAGCTTTCCCAGCCACCACAAGCCCTGACTGGAAGGTTGAAACTGAGAGTTTGGGAGGAAAGAGGAAGACACTGGTCACTGAATGAGGAAGGACCAGACTCTTCCTTGATTTCTTTTCCTACACTGCCCACACTTACCCCTTTTCCATCCTGGATAAATTTATAACATAAATTATATACTTCAGCTTTGTAAAATATATTTAAAAGCCCAAAAGAGTTACTCCCACTGTTAGTCTTTGCATAGTTATTAGTGTGGATGCTTTAGGAAAGAATATTAATTTTAATATTAACCTTAAGACTCAACTAAAAAATTAATTTTCTGCAAAAAGTTAACATGTTCTATAATATAGTAGAAAATGTAATTGAATAGTCATGATATATTGTCAGTGAAAAAGCAAGATGTAGAACGATGTGAACATTATGATCCTATTTCTGCAAAAAAAATTTTCCTACTAATATTATATACAGATGTAATCATCTGTATTCACTCCAAAATAGTATCAGCCATTCATAAATATTCCAACTATGCCATTAACATTATTTTTAGTTTCTGTACCTAAAATAACTCGAGAATAATTTTTAAGTCTCTAAATAAAGTATGATGCTGAAATGACCTCTTCATGACATAAAAAGTACAAAAACAAGGCTATCATAATGTTTTCAAGAGATTCCCAGACAAAAATGTTCGTGTTATTTTGCAAGCTTCTTTATTTGCATAAAAGCATGCTTGTCACATTTCTATATTTTATTGAACGTCTATTAAGAATATATAATCCAGATGTTCCTTGATTTCAGAAAGCAATTTTTCTTGACTCTGAGCTTGTTTACATTACAAGAGATTCTTTTTTTTTTAATAAAAGAATCAAAGTAATGTTACTTTAAGGCACAAATTCCTCTGTGATTTTATGATTTTATTAAAAATATAAGTTGCAACTTCTCAGGTGTACCCATCATGAAAATATATTAGGTGTCCACATTATTTGCTTGTAAAATATAGTGACTAGATTTATGTTCAAAAATTTGGGAGGCAGTCACACCTTCAGTGTCCCAAGAGTGAGTAGCCTACCTGTACATTTTCTGTTGACCAAGGAAAAGAAATGCTATTCCAAGCAATGCTTCTTCCATCATCCCTCAGACTCTCAAAAGTTGTAGCTTCTTATTCATAGTTTTTAGATGACATCTTTAGCTGTGGATTCAATCTCTGAATATCTCTTTCCTAATGAATTAACATGGGTTTAACTTATGTAAAAATTCTTTATCAAATATGAAAATGGTTGAAATAGAAAATTAAAAGGAATAACATTTTTGTTAATATTTGTGATGTGTTTTGGAAAGCTCACTCCAGTAGACTTTGTTGGTGGCAGGGGCAGTGGGGAGATAATTCAAGAATTTATTAGTCTAGGCCAGACATAAAAGTCTTCAGTCCTGCAACAGCAAAGCAACTTGGAGGGAAAGTGGGGAAATGACAGACAGACATTTTCCCATTCTGCTTCCTTCCCGGAGGAGCCTGTCTCCGCTGTGGAAGCCTAGAAAGCCAGATAGACAAGGAGTCTGAGTGACTGTGAGACCCAGTCCTTACCAATGAACCTGCGGGGAGGCTGCTGATGGTAGTGGGAGGAAGGGTATCCCTAGGAAAGATTTTCCACCCTGATAGGAAGACTGAGGAATTCGAGAAAGAACCCTATCCTTTTGGCTTCTGGATTTTGTTAAGGGAGAAAGTGATGTTTATTGCTACATTGCTATATTGCTGAAGCAGAAGATCAAAGAAGCTGTAGAAAAGCCATCCCAGAGTTCTGATAGTTTCAACTGCTGAACTAACCCTGGAAACAGCCTAAGTCCAGAATCTTTTTTATGCATAATGGCAAGAGTCCTTGATATTTAAACAACTTTTAGTCAGGTTTGCTATTATTTGCCGCAGAAAGTATTGTAACCAAAACACAGTGGATGGATGAAAACACGATACCATTCAGTAGGTAGAATCTATAGTTCTTGATCATTGACAAATTATAGATGTTGAGGAAAAGAAGGAAGTCTAAGATGACTCCCAAGAAACTTAGGTCAAAGGGCTTAGGGTGATATGATTTACTAAATGGAGGAATACAAATACAGAAAAAGTAGAGAAGGCAGGAGAGAGGAGAATGACCAATAAAGTTTGGGATATTATTGGGATATGTCTGTATTTGTGTTTGTCTGGGACTTTCAGTTGACTGTGTAGTAGGTGCTGGGTTATAGTCCTAGAGCTCTGACATTAAATGAATGAAGAGGCCAGCGCGGTGGCTCATACCTGTAATCCCAACACTTTGGGAGGCCCAGGCGGGCGGATCACGAGGTCAGGAGATCGAGACCATCCTGGCTAACATGGTGAAACCTCGTCTCTACTAAAAATATAAAAATTAGCTGGCGTGGTGGCGGGCGCCTGTAGTTCCAGCTATTAAAGAGGCTGAGGCAGGAGAATCACTTGAACCAGAGAGGCAGAGATTGCAGTGAGCCAAAATCACGCCACTGCACTCCAGCCTGGGCGACAGAGCGGGACTCCATCTCAAAAAAAAAGGAATGAAGATACACAGTATGTAAGAAGACAAGCTTTGATATTCAGTTGGCTCCTAGAGTATTTTTGTATCTAAATTTCTAGCATAGACTTCTTGTTTAATCCTGACTCATATCTCTAAAGGCCTATAGTACAGTCTCTCCTTGAAAGTGTCATAGCTACCTTAAATTCAACATGACCACACCTAAGCATCTAACTTCCCCCTCACCTACTGATCTATTTTTATTCCCATATGTAATATATAAGATTATGCCAGTAGTACATATTTTCTGAAAAGGGCAGTGCGCCAGGACAAACCCCTGGGAAACACGGAGTTTTAAGGATAGACAGAGGAAGAGGTTCTCATGAAGAAACCCAGAAGGAATAAGAAAGATCAAAATTGATTCAGAAATGTTTAGTAGAAGCCAACAAATAGAGTTTCCCAGGAGAACTGGTCAAGAGTGTGAAGTGTCATTTAAGAAGTTCAGTGAAATACAAGCTTACAAATCAGATTACAAAAAGGGTCAGCCACTGCCTCAGACAGAGGCACTCAGTCATGAAAGTCATTTTGGAAGAGATAATAGTCACAGAAAACTATTTTCTCATATGAAAAGTATAAATGCGTTATGCAAGCATGTATTTTGTGTTTTGATAATTAACTGAAATTAAAAAGATTTGAGAGGATTTTTGAGGAAAATGAGCAAAGTGAAATCAGAGTGCAGAATGTCTTTTCTCCAATATCCAACAAAGCGACCAATTATACTTTTTAAAGTGAATGGGGCAACCAACAAGAGCAAATAAATGTAAAAGTGTTCAACCCTTTACTGGAAAGATTTAACAGAAAAGGCAGAGCAAAATACCAAAAATTTCCTAGAGGGTTGTTGCCATTCTCAACCCCACTTGTACATCCTGGAGGTAATACCAGAAAAAGAAGGTGAGTCAAGGAAAACCTCACTAACAACTTCAAATTTGAAAAGGAAAAAAAAGTAGCAAAGGAGTAAATAGGCAACTCTGGGAAACATCTGCGGATTCTCAAGATTAGAAGCTACCTCCAAAGATTCCAATATCTCAGCAGACACAGTGACCAGGGTCTTAGTATTTGGGGTCTCTTTATTTTGGTCTGTTCAGTCAGAAATCAAAGCAGATGAGCAGGGAAAGTGATTGTAAGCAAACAAAGCTGTTTACCCCCAGCAGCTAAACAGGGACTTAATAAAACTGATGGCAAAAGAGAAGATACATAAGACAAGATCCTGTGAGGATGAAGGGAGATGGAGGACCAGGGACAGTGGTCGGTGGAGACTCTCCTTAACTATGGAGTATTAACCACAGACCCAAGCCTATGACTGTTGATATATTTTCCTTCTTCTGTCTTGACTGAATGCTAGAACTAGAGTCTCACAAGAGACAGCTATAATTCAGGATTAAATTCAGGCTTCAGAGCTCAATGCCCAATTCCCTTGAACCTGAAGTTCTAGGTGGTCCTATATCCCCTTTTAGTCACCTCCAACCAATACAGATATACATCCACTATGTGGAGAGAATTCTGGTGCAGGTCATTCAACAAGAGAGGCCCAACCTAATTTTAACCTTAATACACTCTAACGTTCACCCTGATCACCCTCACCCTCATCCTAATTCTAGCACAACATTAATTCTCTCACTTGTAAAATAAAAATTATTTTTGGAAAACATTAATTATACCAACTTCCTCCAGAGTCTTGCCTAAGAATTAAATAAGATAACTTATAGAAAACTATGAACTATGCAAACACCAGAGCACTGATACAAAAATTTGTTGTTGTTGTTATTTTGTATTTGGAAAATATGTTTATATCTTTTTCTAGGCTAACAGACCTATAAAAGTACAATATGCAGCTGAACTGCCCTCCCACACTGATTTCTCTTCACCTCATGAAGGTGTGTCAAAAAATGTCTATAGCGACAGTACACTGGATACTCAAGATGCATCTGTGTTTTCACTGAGATTCTTTAGCTTTAAAAACACATTGTCTTATGCAATATTGTATTTTCAAATTGGTTTGTTAATAAAGTTTAATTTGACATTATGAGCTTCATCATATTTTAACAAAACTTCAGTGCTGACTTTGCAATTGCTTCATTTTCTGTTAAATATAGCAAACATATAATTTGTTCAGCTTACCTGGAAACAATATTGCCTTCAGCTGTTTGGTAATTGGGTAGATATTTATTGGAACATCTCATACTCTCTATGTAAACACTTGATATTACTAGCTATTCATAACTGCAGCTTGGCATGTTCATGAAATTAAACAAAGTAATTAATTTGGTTTCAGGCATAAAACAAGAAAATATGCAGGGCTGTTGGAACAACATGCACATGTGAAAACTCAGAATTATTTTAATAACAGAGTGTGTGGCCTGCAGTAATAAAGCAATGTTTAAATTATTCTGTCAAAGAAAGACATTTAATTTATCATAAGTAGCCTTAAAGATACAAATTTTAATATTTCTTCCTTTCATTATCAGGCTACTTTCCATATTTATTGACTATAATCATTCTGTTAGTAGGATCCCAAACTTAGCTACTAAATGCAAGAAGCATCATTTTTTATGTGTGAAAATCTCCTTATTCCACCAGGATAAAACCTCTAGATAGTACCATTCAAAACAACCTGTTATCTAGAGTGAACATCATGGGAGAAGAGTAATGATGAATATAATCAAAGCTAAAGTGAGGGAGAGGAGAAATGAGGGGAAAAAATTCCCAGCTTCTCTATTCTCTAAACATAACCTGGCATAGGCACCTGGCTTGGTACCTTGGTCAATCCATCAGTAAAAAAAGGATGCCATCATTTGCAATGTGCTTTAAAATATTTATATGAAAAATACTGTCTAACATGGAGGGACAATGGAGGATTCTAATCAACTTTTATGTAGTCATTATGGGAAGGGACTTCAAAAAGTTCGTGGAAAATGGAATTAAAAGATAAAAGTAAAATACATAAACTTTTTTTTTCCAACAGAAGCTCAAGTTTAAAACACCTTTGTAAGTGATGATACCAGCCATTTAGTTCATCCCTAAAGAACTGAGGGTACTGGGGAATGGCTATCACTAAAAAGTCAGGAAACAACAGATGCTGAAGAAGATGTGGAGAAATAGGAATGCTTTTACACTGTTGGTGGGGGTGTAAATTAGTTCAACCATTGTGGAAGACAGTGTGGCGATTCCTCAAGGATCTAGAACTAGAAATACCATTTGACCCAGCCATCCCATTACTGGGTATATACTCAAACGATTATAAATCATTCTGCCATAAAGACACATGCACACGTATGTTTATTGTGGCACTATTCACAATAGCGAAGACTTGGAATCAACCCAAATGTCCATCAGTGATAGACTGGATAAAGAAAATGTGACACATATATACCACGGAGAACTATGTAGCCATAGAAAAGGATGAGTTCATGTCCTTCGCAGGGACATGGATGAAGGTGGAAACCATCATTCTCAGCAAACTAACACAGGAACAGAAACCCAAACACCACATGTTCTCACTCATAAGTGGGAGTGGAACAATGAGAACATAAGGGCACAGGGAAGGAAACATCACACACCGGGGCCTTTCAGGGGGTGGGGGGCAAGGGGAGGGATAGCACTAGGAGAAATATCTAATGTAGATGGCGGGTTGATGGGTGCAGCAAACCACCATGGCATGTGTATACCTATATAACAAACCTGCACGTTCTGCACATATATCCCAGAACTTAAAGTATAATAATACAAGAAATTTTAAAAAATTGAAAAAGAACTGAGGGAAATGGGAATTTAACCATGTCAATGCAGTCTTTTTCACATGATTAACTGAAGAAAAATGAGTGCCTTTACACAGTTTTTAACATTAGGAAACAAAAAGAAGTCAGGAGGCGCCAAGCCAGGACTGTAAGATGAATGCCTAATAATTTCCCATCAAAACTATTGCAAAACTGTGCTTGTTTGATGAGAAGAGTGAGCAGAAGCGTTGTCATGGTGGAAGACTCTATAGTGAAGCATTCCTGCATGTTTTTCTGCTAAAGCTTTGCCTAACTTTCTCAAAACAGTGTCATAATAAGCAGATGTTATCATTCTTTGGCCCTCCAGAAAGCCAACAAACAAAATGTTTTCAGCAACTCAAAAACCACTGCCATGATCTCTGCTCTTGACCAGTCCATGTTTGCTTTAACCAGGCCACTTCCACCTCTTGGTAGCCATTGCTTTGATTGTACTTTGTCTTCAGGATTGTACTGATAAAGCTGTGTTTCATCTCCTGTTCCAAGTTTTCAAAGAAAGCCTTCAGGATCTTAATTCCACTTGTTGAAACTTTCCATCCAAAACTTTGTTCTTGTCTGCAACAGCTCTGGGCACAACAATTTGGGTACCTATCAAGTGGAAAGTTTGCTTAACTTTAACTTTTCAGTCAGAATTGTATACACTGAATCAAGTGGCTATAGTTCCTACCGGTAATCATCAGTCCTCTTCAATCAGGGCATGAAGAAGATTAATTTTTTTCCTCACAAATTGATGTTGACAGGCTGCTGCTGTGGACTTCATTTTCAACATCACCTCATCCCTTCTTAAAATGGGTTATATATTTGTAAACTGCTGATTTCTTTGGGGCATTATTCCCAGAAACTTTCTATAGAGCATCAATGATTTCATCACTCCTCTACCCAACCTTCACCATAAATTTGATGTTTGTTCTTGCTTCAATTTTAGCAGAATTTATGTTGCTCTAATAGGTGCTCTTTCAATTGATGTCTTAATCTTCTTTGTACCTTAAACTAGATCCTGTTTGGACATGTTACAAGTTAGTATAAGTTTATTTTGGTGCAAAAAAAATTTGAAATCCATGCATTGTTTTTTATAACACACATTTTCCATGAACATTTTGAAGACCCCCTCTTATATGCTACTCTTTGATTTACAATTTTCAGATGATTACAATATAATAAATAATTGTAATACCATAACTGCAGTGAATGTAAATTAATCTCTCACAATTCCACACATTCCTCAGAATCTTGAAATATAATCCTGCTATACTTTCTACACAAGAATCCCAGCTAAAGTGTATATATTGGTAAAAGGCTGGATAGCAGAAAATTTAATACATGTTAAAACTAAAAAAGCCATTAGAACTCTACATTAAGAAACAATTCCACACTGAGAAAATGAACAAGCAGAAAGTAAATGACTAACTTAAAATTTACACATCTACTGCTAAAATTGCATTTATTAATAAAGAAACAATTTATGCCTTCTATACTTTGTACATTTAAGAAACATTTTTTGATAACGGGAAAGACAGAAAGAAAAAAGAAAGAAGGAAATAAAGAGAGAGAGAAAAAAGAGGCAATTCAGAGGTGAAATGGGTTATAGGAACCCATTTTGATCATATATTTTTTTCTATCATGCATCTTCAAAAAAATAATTTTTTGTCATCTTCAATAAGGACTAGAGAGAGACCCTGTCTCAAAAAGAAAGTGAGAGAGAGAGAGAGAGATCAAAATATCTCCTAACACCCTACAAGTTTTAATTCATAGAACACCAAAAAAGCTAGTCATCCTAAATGCTTTACTTAGCAAAGCTAAGAAAACAGAAAGGGGCCCTTGCTAAATATAACAATTGAAAGGAAGAAAGAAAACGCTGTGGAGGAATTAAAGTGGCTTTCACTTTGTAAACCTCCCTCTGGGAAGTACCTTTCCCCTGTCTCCACCTCAAAGAAGGTTAATATGTTTCTCCTTATTTTGGCATCTCACCTCACCAATCGTTTGTTCATTTAAAACTCAGACATTCTTGAGAGGTAGGAAGTGGGGCTGGTGATACAGTTTCCATGCGAAAGGCCGTAAGAATGTTTTTGCCCCACTCTACGGAGTCCATCATTGTGAGCCCTGGGTGTGTTGCCCCACATTATTAACTGGATGCTGCTCCTCAGCCTCTGCTTTCATGGCTCTCTTCTCTCATTTCTGCTGGACTGAAGCTGCCAGATGAGGCAGACAAATCCATGTTATAGTATCCTTTGACCCCGTCAATAGTGGACATGAAGTTTAGGGAAATCTACAGCTCAAAAATTGTTTACTGCTACTACCACCATTTCTAAACATACACACTCACACACGTGCTCACCAAGCAGAATGAATGAATTTTTTAAATATGACAATCATAAATCCTTAGTAGCATTTCTACCTTCATAAAATTATTCTAGAGTTCTAAAGTTTGAAACGTCGGTTTGGTTTCCAATGACAGTCAAAAGCCGATTACTTTTTTGGAGTACGTTATGGCTGTTATTTTTGTTTGTTTGTTACTGTTAAAACCTCTATTGAGAATAGAAAGCTAAATTCAACACCATTTCTTTTCCAACAACGTATTTTGTTATATTAATCTGACTGGGCTATTTGATTATCTCATTAGAATATTACCTATCTGTGTAATTCCATGGTGACACCTAGCCAAAATCAAGAGCCAAAATACATGGAAAATGTGGTGAGGGAAAGTTTCACTTATGCATTTTTTTACCCCTATACCACAGTAAAGTTTGGGTAATGTTTATATCACATCTTCCCACAGACACTTTACCAAAGCCAAGGCACATTGTAAGCTTTCAGTAGGACCCAAGCCTGCTCAACTCATGTCACATTTGCAAAGCACTACTAAGTCCACTGAAGTTTGCCAAATTTCCACAAATAAAAGAATCAGAACTGCTGCTGTAATTAGAATTCATCCAAATGTCTTCCTCACTTCATCCTCCATTAACATCAGCTCCAGATCTGGGTACTTAACAGCACTACATTCAGCCACATCAACGACAATCTAAAGAAGACTACTGAAAAATTAAAACTAGCTTCATCCTACAGAATGGATTCTAACTTATTACCAAGAAAATAATTCTTATTCAGTTTTCAATAAACTTTATCAGAGACGGGGTACTTGATATGAGAGAGTGGCCAATGGGAATCACCAAATGGTGAGTTACTCAAAAGAATTTTCTTATTTGCCTCATAATTTAAGCATATAATTCAACCTCTTCCTGCCTTTGTTCCCCAGATTATAAACTGCTTAAAACAGCTAGTTCCTCCCTAGCTATGATATGGTACGTAACTATGATACCTTGTTATGGTACAGGAAGCTATAAGAGCAATTCAGACAACAAAGAATAATATTTTGATAAAATAGAGCAGTAAATAAGTCAATTAATCTAAATAATTTCCTATTTGAATTAATTTTTAAAGGTAGGTTTTGAGAGATTCTAATTAAAGATTTCTATTCTGCTAGTCTTTTCCTATACTCAGTGTTTGTTATTAAAACCTTGCTAAGAAAGTGATGAGTATATACATTTCTCAATTACAAACCAGAATTACTGCATATTTCCATTTATTTATATTCCATATCTTGGCCACAGTTGGGTAGTGGGGTGGGAAAAATATATTAAGAGATGAAAAAGAATGGGGAGACATTTTGCAAGACATTAAAGGGATATCCAGGATAAAATTATTTCCTGATAAAGGAATATGTATAAATAAGTTGAAATGACATTGTTTCACAGAAGTAAAAATAAAACTTGATTTTCCTGAAAACAAATAAGGATATAAACGATACAGACTATTACATAATGTGTCTGTAACATGAGTATCTTATTACCCTATGTATTGCGTTAGTAAAAATGCATCAGAAACATAGAACAATCAGAAGCAGCTCTTGAATGGAGAAATGTCCTCTTTATCCCAGTTAAAATGAGAGCAGTCTTCAGGCATCATGTGACATTGTCCGAATATTTTGCATGACCATTTCTTAGGCTCTCCTTCTCTAATTGATTAGAGCAAATGTTTATAGGTAGCAGAGCTGTCTAAACCAGGTTCTTAACAGGAAAAGAGACACAAAATCCCTTTCTGATTGGAGACTCTGATTCCAGTGTATACGTAGTCTGTCTTATGTAGCTTGTCTATTTGAATGGTAGTGTCTTTCCTTAACTGCAACGAAACAAATAAGGTTCACGCACAGGTTTAATTTGGCATCAAGCTCCAACTTAGTCCCTTGTGCTTGTTTATTGCATGTCTGCAGCTGTTATTTTCCTGCTTCTTCCACAGTTAGACAATAGAGCCAGGCTGTCGTCAGCCTTGCTTTGCCTTTATTTTGTGCTCCCCATTTTTATTGATGAGCTTATACTTGTCCTGCTGATTAAGTAAAAATATGTTTTCTTTATAATTTTTTTAAAGACTATGTTCCCAAAAAAGTCTCTGAGTTTTCCTTTTAATCACTATTTTTCCCTTTAAAAATGCATGAATAAATTTAAACCCATTCAAATGCCAATATGCCTAATGTACATATTAAGTCAATACGATTTTACTTAACTTTTTCTACTTACATTTTTTTTACTATAGCTCAAGACTTACAACAAAATACTAAATGATGACTGATTCTCATAGTGTCTTGCTAGAAAAGTAGCAACTATTTCCTAAATATTGGCATGTCTAATTGCTCAAATTTTACAAGCTAAGAAGACTAGGAAGAAAAATCTTTCAAACATTTAGGTTAGCTCTCAGTGGAGTCTCTGGAGGTTAAGAGGTGAAGTCAAGTCGTACCATTCTTTCTTAATACTATCATTCTCAAATGATCAAATGTGATTTTTCACTCAACCAAAAATTTCTTTCTTCAAACTCCACTTCAACTGCTCACGTTTTTTAAATCTCATTTTCTTATGTATTTATTCTATTTATTCATTCATTTATTCCATAGTTATTCAATAGATATTTATTGAGCATTTATTGGGTACCAGATACATAGAACTTCAAAAGAAAAGATTCTGATCTCTGAGATCATTCAGAGCTAAGCACCAGGCTAACTGCCCTCCTCACGCCAGTCTGTGTGTCAGCCTTACATATCTCCTGGAATACATAATAGGAACAAGTAGATTTTTAGCACCTTGGGTTACCTGAGGGTGCAAAGAAATGAATCTCATAAAGCATGTGCCAGAGTGCCTGGGTTCAAATAATTGTTTTTCCACTTTTAGTGGTATGACCTCAGAAAACATGTTAACTCTGTGACTGTCTTTGTCTGTAAAATGAAAAAAACAATAGTAGTTACCTCGTAAGTTTTTATCAACGGAGTCAACATCTGTAAGGTACTAAGACCAGTGCCTGCTACAGAGCAACGCTGTATATATTTGTCAAATAAATGAAAACAATTAAATTATGCATGTTATGAAAATTAAATGAATTTTCACATATGTAAAATATTTAGATATGTGCTCAAGTGCTAAATAGAGGTTGCTGATAATTACTGTTACTGAATAGCCCCCTTCTGGGAAGCCCTGGCCTCTTCTGTAGAAGTTCTTACTCATATTCCACCGTTCAAGACGCTGCCTCCCAATCGTGATTGGCCCGACTGAAGAGAAAGCACTTCATCAAAAGCAGATGCTCCTCCATGAGTCACTGGACTAATCCAGTTGTCCCTCTCTGGAATTTCCATTGAGGATATAATGAGTAAGTCTGCCAGGCAATAGGAGCTAGAGTGAATATTCACACAGAGAAACCAGCAGGGACTGGGAAAGTAGCTGAGTCATATTCCCTGCAGAAAATGGGAAGGGACCCCTGGACCTCAGTTGATGACACCCACATTACTGAATCCTGAGTCATCTTCCTATCTCTGAACTGTGATCCAGTTATCTGGACACTCAAGCATACTGTGGTTTCTGCTTGTCCCATAAGACATAGTGCCCCTGCCTGCTCTTTTCAGTTTCCCTGAGTCATGGCCAAGTGGTTGAGCTTTCTCTCTTTCTTATATCCCTTATATGTTCATCATAGACCACTGTAATGTATGGATATTTCTTGCAGTTTAAAGAGCCTCCTCTGTATATCACAGGGAGATAATAGGTACAGAACAAGTTCAAAAGATGGCTCTCAATTTTGTCTTGACATCAGAATCCCCTGTACTGACTTTTCAAATGCAGGGCCTGGGCCCTACCACCCAGATGTGAATTCAATAGGCTGGAGCAAAGGCCAGGAATTACTAATGTACATCAAAGGCTGAAAACTATTGAAGGTAGTCAAAGAATGATGTCGGCCAGGCAAGGAGAAAAAGGAGAACAAAAGAGAAATGTTGTTCAGTGCTTAAGGATAAAACTATTCTGTGGTCTCCTCATTGATAATGTATGGATGGACACTTTTCTAGCATGTGAGATAATTTTTCTAGAAGATGTAGTACTCATTCAAAATCCTCAAGGACTCCCTGTTGGACCTAGAATAAAGCGCAAACTCTGTAACCCAGCATTCAGGCTCTCCATAAAGCACTTTGCTGCTCCACTGAAGAACTTCCTTCTATACCCTTACATCCCAGTCATACCTGCCTTTTGGTCATTCTCGAACATTCTGTATGTCATTATATTTCCATGCCTTTAATTCATGCTAGTCTCCCAAGCTAAATTGTCTTTCTCATTCTTTCTGTCCACCTGACACTAATAATTACAAGAGTAATAACAATTTACAGATCACAATATGCTTTTCTCAAACATTGTTACATCTCTTCCTCATAGCAGCAACTTTGAGTAACAGATATGCTCTTTATTTCAACTTTCTGATCCAGAAACTGAAGTTCACACAAATTAGGTGACATACCCAGTGCCTGATATATAGTAGAATGTTGATTTAAAAATTGGCCAGAAGTAGGAAAGTGAATCAAGTCTTTGAATATCAAAGTCCAAGCTTTCCTTTGCTTATTTTGCTTTGTTTTAATTAACATATATCCAAATTCCAAAGGCTGGAACTTTAATCTTTCAAAACTCAGATCCAAAGACATGCCAACATACAGACACATAAACATCCAGGGTGCTTTAACTATGTAATAAATATCTAGCAAAGTTATTAATTTGAGTCTGACAAGAATGAGACAGGAATCGTTGAGAACCAAATGCTCAGAAGAAGTAGATTCAATTCAACTGAATTTATCTCTACTTATCTTTATTGTCATTATGTCTCATCAAATTCATCTAGAACAAAATATTTCATGAAGGCTGTTGGATAGTCAGACATTCCTCTACCCTGCCTGCCTCATGAGGTTCAAATGAGATAAGGTATGGGAATTCACTTAGGAAAGTAGAAAATGTTGATAAATTTTTATCTTCCCCTCAGTTTATCGTGCTCTGCAAGAGAGTCATGGACACTGACAAGCATACTCCTAAGAAGATGCTCACCTCAAAATCTGGTTACTCTATTACTCAATACTGTATATGTTTTCCAAAGCTGTGTAGTCTCCTGATCCACTTTATGCCTACCATAATTAGAGCAAATAATATGAAAAGTGAATGGATCCAGGAATTGCAATTTTCCAGACTACCAATGAATAAATTCTATTCTCATCCTTCTGAAACACACTTCTGCCATGCTTCTGACAGAAGTCACACTTGTTTCTGTATTTTTTGTTCTTGACGGGTTTTTTGCCATTTGACTCATTGATGCTGTTCAACCTTTCTTTACTCATCTTATTTACATTATTTTGACCTGTATCCCTTGATGATTTTCACTACTTCCAAACCTGTCTGGCTTACAGGTGGTTCTCATTGCAACCCATTTAAGAATATCAACAGTGGTTTAGCAGCAGTGACTCCGTTCACCCAAACAGCTTGTGACAGTCCATGCACAGATTTTTATCTCTTTACATAAAATCCCATCAATGTTGCAGGCTGAGACACAGAACTTTAAAACCATATGTTTCTGATATTTCAGGGTTTTTTCCCCTTAGGCTTTGTGAATAGAAGAGAGATATCACATCCTCCTTGTTCTTTCACTGGCAAAAGGTTCATTCACACAACCTGAAGTCATTTGAGCATGAGTTTCCATGATGTCTTATTTTCAAGTATTGTTATCAATTCTGTCTAAATTTATAAAGATTGTAATACATGCTCACATACAAGGAACACTCGGTGAATCACTCTTGTCCAAGAACATTTAGTATTTTACATTTGTCCATTTTAATAACATTTCAGCTGCCACTGTTATAAAACATTTAAAACATTTAGAATATGGCCTCTCTGCAGTGTTTTCACTGGTGATAAACACCCAAGTCATTTTTTTAACCCAATGTGCTACGAATAGGGCATTTCAGTTGTATGAATCCCACTCAGATTTTCAGGGCTGCTTTACTCTAAATACTTTGTATTATGACTAACATGATCATATCAGCTGCCCTTTATTAGTTTCTGCATGTAACTTATTAGCTAAACTGTATTATGCACACACTGAGCACCAGGACCTCTGCTATGCATGTTCCACACATAATCTCATTTCGTAGTAGATGGATACTATTGTTAATCTTCAACAGATGGAGAAATTGAGGCCTAGAGAGATTTTGTAAATCTCCCAAGGAACTCATTTAGTAACCGTGGGGCTGGGATTTGAACTCAGGTGTGTCTTGACTCCAAAACCCAAGGTTTTAACACATGAGCCACTTCCAAAGATGTTGACTAATTTGCAATTCACAGGATGAGCATTCAGTCCTAATCAGGGTTCAGAGGACATTACTAACTGGGTTTTCTTTATCCACAACCCATGTAATAATCAAACTAACCCATATTTGTGCACAACCTATGTTTGGTTTATGCACAACCCAGGTAATAGTCAAACGCCATTTAGCAACTACTGTATCTGACCTCCTTGCTTCCTGGGCCTCCCAATGAAATTGGAAAGAATCTGAGATCAGTGATATCCTGTTCCAATTAAATTATATTGAAAGGGTTTTCCAGAACGCACTCTCTGTAACCATCAGTTCAGTCTCTCCACTGCCTTCTTTTTAAATTGTTTTAGCCAAAGTATCCTGTAGCTATGCAGTAAAAAACTGCCCAGGCTTTAGGGTCCTTAAAAATATATTTCCATGTCAACTCTTTACCCTCTCTTTCCCCTACCCCACATAAAAAATACCTCCCAAATTCCTAATTCTCCTGGCCAGAGGAATAAGGAATTGCATAACAATTTGCAATATATCTTTCCAAGTGCCCTTTTCGGGGTCTTTGACATTTTGTGGAGTGACTATCTAAGAGCAAAGTCGAGTCTCTGAAACTGTTTTCTGCTATAGAGTGACAGGTAATTTAAGATTTTAAAAAACTTTTGCCCTAGATAATACTTCAAAATCCAGCCTCATAGAAAGACAGGCTTTCTCCCCTTTAAATCTGTTCTGGGGCCTCAGTTCCTTGTTTTCCAGCCTACATATGCTATCATATATAATGTCTGCAGAAACATATTGATTTAAAGATCAAGTCAGCAATGGCATTGGGCTTTTTGCAAGTCACCTTGGTTTAACTACTGAAAACCTGTGTAATTGCCTCTGAGACTTGAGTCACTGGAACTTTAATTCATTTGTGCTCTCACATGGTGGAACTTAACTGCTCACTCTAGGCTTCCACTCCTCCTAAGTACCTTTGGAAGGGAATGACAAACCAAGCAAACAGCCTATTTGTGGGTGTAAGGGGCAACTCCAGTAAAATCTTAGCCACAGAATAACATTCTGGATATTATCCATCTGTGAGACTGGTTGTTTGCCACAGCTGTCTTGGGAATCAGACCTCCTATGACAGTCATGAATTTTAAAAAGTATCCATTGACTTCTGACCTGTTGGTTTTGAGAAGGTGAGTAAGCAAACAGTAGGATGGTGACTCGAAGTTAAATACATTTCAAGGAAACCCTCAAGGAGAGGTCAGAGCAGTGAAACTCGAAGGCAAAGCAATGGCTTCTCCGGGAAGAACTATCATTTTCCCAGCGGGGCATATAGATTCTCCATACCTTTCTATGAAAACCATGCAGATTACATACATAATATTTGTGTGTAAATTGCCTTGAATTTAAAGGGCACTTTTCCACAAAAGTCTAAAGCATTTTCTTGTTCAGAGAAGTAGTTTTTCTTTGCTCATCTTCCAGATGGATATACCAAGGCACTGAAAAATTGTGTGTAGAATAACGCTACAACTAATTTTCTGGGCTTTCCATTGAACCCTTTCTTGATCAACTGTACTTTGTATGCATACACATGCATAACTATGTGCATAAGATGTCAACATTATTCAAGGCAGTGTGGTAATGAGCTCCTTAAAGTTTTTTTTTTGAGACGAAGTGTCGCTCTGTCGCCCAGGCTGGAGTGCAGTGGCGCGATCTTGGCTTACTGCAAGCTCTGCCTCCTGGATTCACGCCATTCTCCTGCTTCAGCCTCCTGAGTAGCTGGGACTACAGGCGCCCACCACCACGCCCTGCTAATTTTTTGTATTTTACGGGGTTTCATCGTGTTAGGCAGGATGGTCTCGATCTCCTGACCTCGTGATCTGCCCACCTTGGCCTCCCAAAGTGCTGGGATTACAGGCGTGAGCCACCGCACCTGGCCCACCATGCCCAGCCTAAAGTTTTCATATGTATGTATACATTTCCTGTCTAGACAGTTAAGTGAGTTATCTCTGCCAGTTCATCAGCAAGAAACAATATAGAAAATAATTTCCCTTTCCTACTATTTGCATTGAAAACTAAAATTGTAAAAAGAAAAAAGAAATACTAGTCACTCAAGCTTTTCACACTTCTATAGTTTTTTCATAACTGAAACCCAATCCATAACTTTATAGTTCACTATTTGGTTTAGACCTATTTCAATCTATTAGAATTCTTCTATGGTGTACTAAGATAGTCAAAGATATTCACTACTCTTAATAGCAACATTTATGAAAGACTAAAGAGATAAAAGTGTTATGAGTGGTCATATGCTACAAAGTAGTCAAAGCATATCATTTATCAAACCATTTCTTTGTCTCCACAGTAGGTGTCTACAAAACAAACTAGGAACAATCCTCTTGTTAGCTAGTTAACTAATTAATATTAATTAATATTAACAAGGAAAGTTTCAGTAAAATATATGCCATCTTATATGATTTAGTCAGGTGAACAGATCTGAAGGATATACAGATTTTCTGCATCAGGAAGGAGGATATGTTCAACCTACAAACATTTGGCCTCAGATCTTTTATGGGAGAAAAACAAAGCCAAAAAGCCCCCAAAATGATCATGAATATTCTCAAATAAAATTCCAAAATGGCAGAGCCAATTTTCACAAGTTCCTTTGCTTGCTAAAAAAGCACAAAGTACAAGCAGACAAGCAAATGTTTCAGAATTTGTGTTTTCCATAAATACAGAAATCTTGTAATTATCTCAAGAACCATACATTATTTATTTAGTTCCATGCCTTAATGAAGGAAGACTCAATGTTTATCATATTAAAATGGGAAGTTGAGGGGTAAGGTGGGGAGGAGAAAAAGCATGGTTCTTTTCCTAATGAATCTGGCCTTATGTTTCTTCAATTTTTTATCAGCAATTTTATGCTCTGCAGGTAGTAAACATAAATGGTGACAGCCAAACATGCATTTTGCATCATAACAAACCCATTGGATCTGCAAACAGTTGTTTAAGGTGCTTCTTTCCATCAGGAAAAACAATAGCATTTATTAGCAGTGTTTCACTCCACTCACATGATTTGTGTGTTCTTCACTCTCAAAGTGTCAGCTGTCAAATGAAATGATGGGGACTGACAGTTCAGAATTTTAAAAGTTCAGCTCCTTTCAAATGCATTAAATGAACAAGAGCTGCCTAATTTGGGCTGAAGAAAAAGCAACAAAAATCCCCTGTAAGTATGCAAGGTTTTATTCTACTTTTGCATGCTTAGTATGCATAGAGAATGTTAAATACTTTTCAGCTGGATACACTGTTAATTCTATGAGTGAGAAAGATTTCATTAGGTGAGCTTCAGGCAAGACTAGGCTACAAATGGAATTCCCTTTTATTTTCTGAAATTCACAGTATATGACCCATATCCAGTGATAAATGGTCTATAAATTCTCTTGCTGTATTTAATTGCATAAACTTCCATTATATTCTACTATTAACATGGGAACACTTTGACACAAGATGTCAGAAAAGGGAAAACGAATAAAAAAAAAAACCCTTTACTCTTAAAATCAAAATAATCTTCATGTCCCACAGAATCATGTTCAACATACAAGTTCCAAGCACACAATTTTAAATATTTTTTCAGCCAATTAGTTACTTTTAATTTTGGTAGTACAAAAATCTATTAATCACTATTTAATTATCTGGAGCTCTTGCCTGCCTAATTAGTGCTTTCCGTATTGCATCTTCAACTAAACTGGGGACCCTATCAACTCATTTATCTGATACGTATTTGGTGCACTGGTGAGTTAATTAATGAAAAAAGAAAAAAAATCTCATTTAGATGGTTCATTCAAAAAAAAAAAAAGCTTATTAAGCACTTTGAACATTAAATAAGCCGACTGATTATATTGGGTTTTCATTGCCCTAAAAAGCATTATATAAATGCAAAATCCCATGTGACATTTCTTGGTAAATATACATTGTAGAAGGAATCAGAAGAAGCAGTGATCAGTTGAGTAACAATCCCTCTTAAGTATACCGCCCGAGGCAGTGGGCTTTTGAAATCTTTTGTACAAAAATGAGGACAATAATTAGATACAAGATTTTATTTGGAATTTTTTCATGTTAGGAACGCTAAACATAATTATAAATGAAATTACATTGTTATATTCTAGGTAATGTAGTGTAAAATGGTCTATACTATAACTATGCTTATAATACTGAGGAAAACAAAGAGAAATTTCCTGAATCCAACCCATCCCTTTACGACATCTCCATGTTGCTCTTCCTTGCCAACAGGCTATGCACTTGTCCTCAGGCATCTAGCTAAGATAATGACACCCCCAGCGAGGCTTTCATAAGCATCCTCAGTCTAGGTTAGGGTCCCCTCCTAGATGTTCTCACAGTACCTAGACATAAACCTTTGTCTTTATATTCACTATGAAGCAGTGGGTGGTGGAGCACCATGGTAAAGAACATGGCTTTGGCCTCAGAAAAAGCTAGGTACAAATCTAGTGTCAGCCACCAACCAGATTGTTAGAATAAAGGAAATGATCTAAGTAAAGCATCTAGTGTGGTCTCTGACACATAGTAAATGTATCATAGTAACTAGTCTTTAAAAAATTTTTTTAAAGATCTCCGCTGTACTGTTTGCTCAGGACAGTAGAGAGTGATGTGTCTCCTACTAGATCCTGAGCTTTCTGCATGATCTAGCTCTATATCTCCAGGGCCTAGCACAGTGTCTGATGGACAGTGAGCACCCATATATGCATGTGTAATAGATGGATAGAACAATGAATCTGCAGCAAAGGAGTCTAAGCAATTTAAGAATAAAATAAGCAATCTGAAGCCAAAATGCCCCTCCTTCTTACATAGCACAGTGACAACTCCGAGGCACAAATGTTTAAATGCTTAGAACATAGTTCACTTTCAAAAACATATTAGCTATTTAGCTGTTATTAATCCCTGCATTGTTTTCTCTGAATCTTCAGTAGATTGTCAGATAGACACAGGTATCTGATTCCTCATCAAGAAATCCCCCGTAGGAAATCAAAAGTTGTCATAGCATGAAAATATTCACTGGTGAACTGAGCAATTGTAAAATTAGTAGCAACCCAAACTCCCCTCTGCAATTAATATAGTGCCTACCTTAATCCACAAAATCAACATCTTGATCAGTTATAATCCTGCTAACAATCTGATAGTTACAACTTCCCATGTAAATAGAAAAAAAACCTAAAAAGTTAAATTGAAAATCTTTTCAAAATGCAGGACTTCATACAATTTATTCAAGTGATATTAGAGACTTGCTCAAGTCACAGGCAAAGATTTTGTGGCTCCATCAAGGTCAGAAAATTGAAAATAGGGAAAATGAAAAAGATAATGAGATTCAAAAGGGAATAAGCTAAAAACCAAATAATTAGGAAAACTCATTTGAAAATTTAAAAAGCCATGGAATATCTTTGCACAATTGATTCTTTTTATGAGCATGATCTTCAAGTCAAGTACCCAGTGGAGAATTTAATACCCTAAAATTATGCTGGGAAGATAATTGAAAAAAATTAAGATTTGGCTAATTTTTCATTTGTTCTAAGGACTAGAGAATCGTTTTCATTGTTAAGCATTTTTTTTAATTTTTTTCATTATGTTCTATTTTATTTTTAGATAAAGCTCAACCAAAGCTTTCCATTTTCCACTATTGTCCACAAAAGGTTGGCTTCAATTTTGAATAGATTCACTCTAAGTGGCCTTTTCTGGTACCAGTCACACACTGATTTGAGAGAGAGGATTGTTCTTTGAAGTGGACACCACCAGCACTCCTCCTGCCACATTCCACTGTCCTCTTATGGCTTCCAGAGGACCCTAAGAAGCTAATGAGCCATCTTCTATTCCAGTTCATGGGCAATGCATGTTTTAAGGAGAAAAGCAGGGGGAGTTGTGCACAGAGATGTTAGCGAGGCAACTCTCTTCTCAAGAAGAGTTCCTCGGCATATTACAGTCCCCCTTTCTGGGAGCCCTTTCTTTCCAGAGAAACAAGATGATGGAAAGATATGAAACCTTCTGCACTGAGTATTTAATACACAGTGACTCCATAACTAAATCACATTCAGGGCCAGATACTGCAATGCTCCAAAGAGTCAACAAGAACCATGTCTTTCTGGACATAATATGTAGACTATTCCAGAATGCTTTAAATCCTCTCCCTTCTTTTTTTCTCTCCTTACATAACCATTGGTTGGAAAAGAAAAGAGAAAATTTATAAAACATTTTTAATTCATATTTCTCTCTTACGTTGAAATTACAAAATCACAAAAAGGAGAAATGCATAATACCAAACAGTTTATATTTTATTATAACATATTCAAGTTCAATATTCTTTGAAATGATTCTATGGTCTGTATTTTTTATCCAACGATATTTACTTTGTATCATTGGTAATTATGTACTACACATCCTGTGTTTTTCAACTGTGACAAGGTAAGTACTTTTGTTTCTATTTTAGTGATGCCTTTAAAGAAAAATTCAAATACATTCATCAGAATACCAAAGGTAATTTTTTTTCTCAAGCTCCCTGTCAAGATAGTTCAGCTCTAATTCAGGCAAATTCCTGACAGATATCAGAGTTCTATTTACTGATTATCTATTCTTCCCATTGGGATCATAAGATTTTAAGTGAAAAAATCTAAAAGATTTATTGCTAATGGCATTCTACAAATGTTATCTTTGTTCAGAGTAAAAGTAATATATGATCCTGGCTTTGTAGAGCATCTTTAATGTTCCTTTTTTGAATATGTATAACTCATTTAGAGACCAAGAATAGACAGTAACTCATCATTTTTCCTACCTGCCTTAAAATATCTGCATTTTGTCTGTTTGAAAATAATACAAACTTGTGATTTAATTGATGTCATAACTTCGATTCATCACCACATTCATTATAAACAAAGAGGCTCTGGATAATGAACAAAATGCTTATTGTTCACCAGAAGAAAGGGCATAACATGTTATATTTACATTTATGTCGTGTCTTATTACTAAGTCTGTATAAACCATCTCCCTTCATTATTTCTGAATGGGAGACTGATGATAAGTGCTGTTTTCAAGATTTTTTTAATCCTTTTTATTTGTCTAGCTAATTTGTGTGCTGAAGCATTGCAAAGCTAACTCTATGTTTTGCTCGTTAAGTTATTAGGGATTTGTAACTCCCGAAAATCAAGAATGAGTTCCTAAGTGTAACATTTGCATGGGTCGACAGCTTCAGGGGAGAGAGGTCAGCTGCCCCAGTGAAGGAAGAAGAAATCTGTCTGTACGATCCTAATTTGCTTTGAATAATAGACATTGGGCTTGGAATTGGAATGATTTGTTGTTAGGTTAAGCAACAGGGAAGCTTATGGCTTATTTTTACTCCTGATACAAGTGAAGCAATGGTTGAGTAATGAGACAGCCATAGATAATCATAATGATACTAGGCAATGAATTGTGTGTGCCTGGGCGATAGTGCAGGTTTATCAGACTATGATGGCCAATAAGCTATTACAAACTATAAATATTCAGATTAGTCAAATCTTTGTTACATCTTTCAATAGCTACTGGCATGTTTTTCCCCTCCCACTTTATAATTTTGGTGATTCTGACTCCAAGCCTTATCTAACAATTGAAGGAAGTTTAAATTCAAAGAAATGTATTGCATTGTAATAGAAAAATAAAAACGTGCCCAGTGACACCTAACAGTCATGTAATTAAAGCACAGACATTAACACTGGGTTTTTTGTTTCTGAGACACCTAGAAATGGATTCCTTATCTGGTACAAGTCTCTCCAATTTCCCCCCTTCCTCTTCCCCATCCCTCCCCACCCATTCCAGTGAACTTAGCTCACCCAAGATTTCTCATTTGCTGTGCTCTGTTCCTTGTTTAAACTAAAGAGAATACAGGATCAGTCTCCTTTTTTCCTCTACTATAAAGTCTCTTCAGAATCTAATTCAATGAGATTGTATTTGTTACAATGAACGCAGATTGTTCAATGGAACAGATTTAAGAAATGCTGAAAAGAGTTCAGGGGTTTGTAGGGTGGGGGCTAGCCTTATAGTGGGGGGAGTGCAGTTTTGTACATCACCCCATGTTTGTTAAGGTCTAAAAGCACTGAAAAGGATTTGTTCTGTTTATGTAAAGGGCCTCCGTGCTCTGGGTCTCTAAGATGTCATGCCAAGCTTTTTACCACATGAGCTTTCTCTTGATCTTGGGCTTGACATGACCAAAATGCAAGAGCTCAGGCTCTCAGGGACTGACCCACATTGTTGCTGCACTTCAGCCTCTAGGAGTGCGCTACCCAAACAATCAGCTTTCTGTAATTAACACATTATTATATTAATATGTGAACTTGGAAAATTGTTTCTACATATGGTATTATTTCAAATAACCATTTTGTTGACTGAATATTTTCACTTATTAAACCAATAATTATTAAAAGATCTGAGATTGCCCAGGAGAATGAAGATCCTTCATCACATAATGTAAGCTAAGCAGTCAGTTATTAGAGTCATTTACAATATTAATAGCCCTGAGCAGAAGTACAAACCATAGGTCTGTATACTCTGCTGCCGAATTTGCCAGTTACAAACTGGGGTTCTATTGCTTGACTCCATCTTTGCCATATGTTCTGTTATTGGAAATTCCATAAAATTTTATTTTGCTATCTTTTATGAAGCATAGACCAAAGAGCTTAAAGATATTTCATCAACCTAGAAAAAAATGCAATACTGTGAGAATACGTAGACACATGTATGTGTGTGCAGGTGAACAGGCTAATTTCAATGGGATACAACCAAGAATTTGTTTCCTTTTTCTCTACCACTATTTTAAGAAATTCTCTGTTAGACCTGCTTTCTGCTCTCTTGGAAAATACCTCAGGAAGTTTCCCTATAGCTTTTATATTGTCACTTTTGGGTATTAGAACAGTATTATTTTCAGATGTGAAAATATCCAATCCAATTTAAATCAAAACAAACCATTTCAAAGCACCTTTCCCTACCCCAGCATAAGCAACTGGCTTGCAACTAGAGAACCACAAATGGGTAAATGATTGCAGGGAGTGCTGTTTGTATCTGCTCTCTGCTTGCTACTTCTCCTCTTCTGTTTCTGGATCCTCCAAGGTTGGGGGCTGGTGGAGTACCCTGAGGAGGGTAGACAGAAAGGACAAAGTTTTTCTTGATTGGTGCTCATGTAAAAGTAAACTCTTTATCTCATGGACTGCTTTGAGGGATCTTTGGAGAGCTCCAGACTGGGACCTGTGCACTGTCCCCCACACTGCCTAAGTGACACATGCTCTGGCTAACTACTTTTGATTCTGCTCTAGCTTTTAAATTGGGGCTACATCCCTAGGGACTCCTGCCCCCATCAGGCATCACTCATGGGCAGGGCCTCTTCTAAAAGACTCTAGCCATCAAAAGTCAGATATCCACGTGGCCCCTAGGAAAGCTCATCACCAATGCCCCTCAAACTCTAAGAGTATACAAGCCGCTTTCACTGTGGCTGTCTCCTCAGGCTCTGCTTCCAATTCAGTGGCAGTCCTGGACCTGGGAGGTTCAGAAGGTCATAATATCCTAATTAGGGAATGATATGTCAGTCTTCTTTTCTCATGTCCATGCATTACAGCTATTTTACATGGCTGTGGGAAGCCAGGAACACCACCAGCTTTCTTTTACGACAAAGTGACAAATAACCCAATTTAAAAACTGGGCAAGAGATCTGAACAGACAGTTCTCCAAAGAAGACATACAAATGAATAATAAGTACATGAAAAGATTTATGACATCAGCAGCCATCTTGAAAATGCAAATCAAAACCACAATGAGATACCACTTTGCATTCAACAGAAGGGGTATCATCAATAGGACAAATAATAGCAAATGTTGACCAGGGTGTAGAACATGGGAATCTTCATACATTGATGGTGGGAGTGTAAAGTAATGCAGCCACTTTGGAAAACAGTCTGGGAGTTTCTCAAAAGGTTAAAGATAGAGTTACCATGTGATCAAAAAATTCCATGCCTAGACAGGGACCCCAGAGAAATGAAAATATATGTACACACAAAAACATGTACACAAATGTTCATAGCAGCAAGGTGATGGCTAAGGGGTGAGGAGCTTCTTTTCAGGGGTAATGAAATTGTTCTGAAATTGATTGTTGTGATGGTTGCACAACTGTGAATATATTAAAAGCCATTGAACCATGCACTATACATGGGTGAATTGTATAGTGTATAAATTGTATCTCAATCATGCTGTTAAAAATCATGTTCTCACTCTCTTCCTTTGAAAATTTGTAGAATTATTTTCTACAGACTAGAAGAGAAAAGCTAGTCTTACGCAGATGTCTTGCACCTTTCCTTAGAATGTGCAGCACTTATCTCTGATTTCTTCAGCTTTTTGGTCCCCACCAAGACTGCAAGACAGAAAGAAAATCCCATTTAACAATCTGTTAAATTAACAAGAGTCTAAAACATTACTCAGAACATTTCATTTGTCTTTTCTTCATGCTCCAATTTCAGGGTAATGATTAAACATCCAAACTTTGCAGAATCGTACATATATTTCATAGGCTGCATTATCCTCCCAAGTGATTCAGTTTTCCATAACTCTCCTGGTTATGTATTTCAATTAAAAGAATAAGTATACTCTAATAATAAACTCAATAAAAATTTGGTAACCACCCAACTGACTATTCTATTAAGAATATCATTTGTTATTTCAGGAATGCCTGCATACTTATTCTTAAACAGTCCTGGGAGGTAAGTATTGTTAAATAATCATATTATAGATTTAACATTTTACAGATTATTTAAGGAAATTAATTTAAGATTTAGGAATTTAAGGAAAAAATTTAAGATTATTTACAGATTATTTAAGGAAACTGAAGGTCAGAATGGCTAAGAAATTTATGCAAAATAAATCAGTTAACTTGTGTCTGAAACAGCTTAAACAGCCTGTGTTCCGCACACGAAACTTCAGTGCATTTCGCCACCTTGGGATTACCTTCTATAAAGATTAATCCACATGCAAGTCAAAGTCAATGTTGCTTCAAAGAAAATTAAAGTGTGTTTTCTTTATAAATAAGATTATTGAAACAAAAGTCATAATTGCTGTTTTTAAACAAATAATTTAAACTTCTACCTATTTCCTCATTTGTAAAATACAGTATTCTGCCTATAGTTTCAAGTCCACTTCAGTTCCAAGTAACCTGTGCCTACTGAGTTATTTGTTCTTTTAGAAGTGCTGCCTTCTTTTATCTTCCATCCTCCCATTCTGTTTTCTCCTGGACTTTACTAAGGAAAATATGACCAAATCATGGTATTAAAGTGTGTCATGGACTATGCAACTGCAGAGTGAATTAAATTAAATTAATGTATATCAATTAAATTAGCCCATCATTCACAAATATGAACGGATGATCAGGGAGCAACAAACATTTGGGGAAAGTCAATGGTGTAAAGGAGAAGGACGAAATTAACAAACAAAATTCTGACCTTTGAAGAGATGGAAAACTCACTTTTCTTTTTTCTTTTTGAGACAGGGTCTTGCTCTGTCACCCAGGCTAGAGTACAGCGGTATGATCAGGACTCACTGCAATCTTAACCTCTAGGGCTCAAACAATCCTCCCACCTCAGCTTCCTTAGTAGCTGGGACTACAGGTGCTCACCACCACGCCTGGCTGTTTTTTTAAAAAATTTTGTACATACAGAGTCTTACTGTGTTGCCTAGCCTGGTCTTGATCCCCTGGGCTCAGGTGATCCTCCCACCTAGGCCTCCCAAAGTACTGGGATTACAGGCATGAGCCACCATGCCCAGCCCAAAAAATACTTTTTAAAATTTCTAATTAATTTTCTCAGAGAGACTAAAGAAGCTAAGATATGCATAAAATTCAAATGGGCCACAATAAGAAAAGAGCAATAGAAGATATTGCATTATTGTAGACATTAAAAAGATTAAAAATATGAATGACAGACTAGAAACTTTAGCATCACACTAAATAATACAAGAATGCCAATAAAACAAATTGGTAATCAAGAGTACAGAGTTGAGGGAATTTCCTAGACAAACAGCAAAAATAAAAAAGATAGAAAATATGAGTAAAATGTTAAGAGATGTAGACATCCAACATCTATCTAACAAGATCTAACAAGCAATTGAAAGGCAAAGAAGAGCAAAGCGGTGACTAAAATAACTTTTAAAAAGATAAGAATTTAAAAAACAAGAATTTTAAAAAGAAAGAATTAAAAAAAAAAAAAAAGATTAAAAGGCCAGGCTCAGTGGAGTGGCTCACGCCTGTAATCCCAGCACTTTGAGAGGCCGAGGGGGGCAGATCACTTGAGGTCAGGACTTCAAGACTAGCTTGGCCAATACGGTGAAACCCCATCTCTACTAAAAATACAAAAATTAGCTGGACTTGGTGGCGGGTGCCTGTAGTCCCAGCTACTTGGGACTACAGGAGGCAGGAGAATCACTTGAATCCAGGAGGTAGAGGTTGCAGTGAGTCAAGATCGCACCACTGCACTCCAGCCTGGGCAACAAAGAGAGGGACCATCTAAAAAACAAAAACAAAAACAAAACAAAAAATCAAGATTAGCACAAAAGACAATAATTGAAATTACCTTTGAATGCTACAAAACAATGGAGCAATTCTTCCTCTAACAAACTGACAAGAAACCATTTGAACCTATACTTTTCAAGTGTAAAAGCAAAAACGTTATCAATCAGACAAGACTCAGAAAACTTATCACTCAAGCCACTCTCATAAAAACCATTCATTAAGAAGGATGTCCAAGAAAAATTAAAAGGAATACAAGCTAGATGATGACTTAAGATAAAAGGAAACACTATCAACTGAATATGAATGAGAGGAAGTGAAGAAAGTTCAAAAAATTTAAATAGATATCTGACATACCTTCATATATTATGCTAGGAAAATTTTCCTTAAAAGGGGTTTAGCAATTTCAGGTTCATTATACTTCTTCTTCTGTGGATCTATTTACACTATTTGATTCTGTAATAAATAACATTCACATAATCATAATATTATAAAGCCTATTTTATTAATTATAAAATTTTAGACTCAGAAAGAAAATATGAAGTCTCAGTTACAGTTAATTTTAATTATATAATGGAATGTAAATGTCTTAAAACCTGAAAAGGTAAAGATAATAATATAACCAAAACATCAACAAAAATCACATATCATTAGATATTGCCTAAGGTTACTAAATCATAAAACACATTCTTTAATGTCATAAAGATAATATTATAATACAAATTAGCAGAAATCAAGCCTAGAGATAAAAATGTACTGATGAGAAGTCATAAGGTGTTTCTGAAGTTGATATAGCTAGAAAGAAATCAATAACATTTAGTATTTACATTTACAAGAGTAACTATCAGAATAATTGAAAAATAAAAACCGTTAAAGCTGCTTATCTCAGTACAGAAAAGGGGATTTGTCCTTTCTGTTTTAAACCTTTCTACATGGGCTGAATTTTCATTAACTAGTCCAGGTATTACTTTAAAATTTTAATACATTTAACATATTTCCATGCATAAAAATGTATAACAGACATACACCCAAATATTAATACCAATTCTCTCTGGGTAGGAGAAATTCCAGATGATTTTTTTCCTCATGTTTTCACATTTTGTTAGTTTTCAAATGTCCGTGCACAATACTTTCTCATTCAAGCCATAAACTAAATTTTTAAGTATTTGATAGAGCCATCTAAAATAATTTTGAAAATGCAAAATAATTAAAATTTTATAATTTTAACCTGCATTTTAAAGGTCATAATGGGATGAAATCAGGATAAAATATACAATTCCTCCAAGAATTTACCTGTTTACCCATTTTCTAACTCTGCAGCAAGAGAAAATGTCTCTTTCCACTATAGAAGTAATAACGCTAATAGCTAGTAACAGCCCTGACTGCTCAAGTTTTTCACTAAATGTCTGTGCTTGGTGATTCTTGTAAGTCCCAGTTCTTGTCCTCCACTTTTTATACTAAAAAATCAGATTTCCAAGCTCATTCAAAAGTGATAGCATTCTGAGTGGCCGATTTTCATGAACCTAGCCCTAGAAATTAAAAGATTATCTAAAAGTTCACTAAAACACCCTCAGAAATAGAACCAGCAAGATTTCCATAAACAGAGCCAAGTACACTCTCCCTGAATAGTCTTGGAGACACCTTGATGAGGATAACAAAGGTAAGTCATTATTGAGTATCCCACATGCCTAAATTATGCATCAAATTCTTCTTTGCCTTTTAAAAATTTTATTCTTAATATCCCCTTTTCATTTATTATCTCCTCTCATTTTGTCAGTAATACTTCCTTGACATACTGTTAAAATTCAATTATCTAGTTTGTTTACTTTAGTCCTTATTACAACTAGTAGATCCCTGCTGGATTTAAGGAAAGTTTATGGGGGCAGGTGTAGTGAGTGGATGGAGGATACAACCAATTAAGATAAGAAGAGCACATGTACCCTAGAACTTAAAGTATAATAACTAAAAAAAAAAAAGAAGAGCACATTTCAGCATCACAGTATATATACGGTGTGTGCCCCACTTGCAGATTACTGACCGCAGCCATTTCATCTCAGTTCTTTTTCATTTGCATTACAAACAGATGCAATTTCAAATCTTGCCCTAAGAGTCTAGGTGTTCCTGAAACCTAGAGCTCAGACTGGCCTAACAGTGGCTATGAAAAACAATCAATGGATATCCTGCCCCGAGACCAGAATGTATGTTTTGAAAAGTATAAGTGCTGTCCATCTGCAAGAACATTTTTGTTATTGTTGTTGTCATGTCCAATTGACTGTGATGGGAGAATCTAGTTCATTATTAAAAGCAGAAAAGAATCGCTTGCATGACTATGGATAGATCTGTCAGCTAAGAACAATGTGTGGTAGCCCTTTCTGCAGGGAGACTGACAGTAACTTCAAAAACATACACTGAATTATCTAATGGAGTTTTTCCATCCTTAAATTCTGTGAAAAGATATTAAATACCATTAATTCATTAAAGAAATGTCTGGTGGTTTTTATGAACGCTCATGAATATTTCATAAAGTGATTAAACTTGTTAATCTTGCTCCCAATTAATTTTCAGTAATTCTTAGAACACACAAGTAAATAATAGGTAATTATAATGTCTTACTATGTGTCATTTATATAACTTAGGCCATTAAAATTGCATTTCTGATGTGATACATTTCTTAGGGCCCTATGTCTTTGTGTTTTTAAGCAAAATTCATTTTTCCTTTTTTTGAGACTGCATTAATTTTGAGGGGATTTTGAGAGGAAATGTTGAGGGTCCTCTAAGAAGAGGAAGAATAGATTCTAAGAGTGCAAAGAGGGGCTCCTCTATGAAGTAGCATTACCAAAGTTCTAGATTTTTCTCTTCCACCAATCTGATGAGGTGGTATTCAGTATTTAATTAAGAAAACTATCACCTGTGGAATTAGATGCACAGGTAATTCTGCCCATTTTTCTTTCTTTCCTCATGCTTTAGCTTTTCATTATGCTTGACTACCAAATGGAGAAAAAAAGGAACTTAAATTTGGAGGCAATTTAGAATAATGGAAAGTTCACAGAGTCAAAAAGAACCAGCTTGAAGGGATCATGACTCCCAAGCTGGGTTGTCTTGGGCAAATTACTTATCTGTCTGAATTTCAGTCCCTTTACCTGTAAAATTTTGAAAATAAAACTCTCCCTACCTACTTTACAATATTTTTTTGAGAAATTAGTTAAATCATATATTAAAGACATTTGGTAAAATGCTCTGCAGATTATCCCAGGTATGCTAAGCAAATAGGTAATTCTGAGAAACTTACTTCAACATTTTTATCCTGGGCCTTCGTTTCCTAATGCCTAAAGAGAAAATTAAAACTCCCTAATTTGAAACCAATTTATTTTTATGGTGATCTACTTACCTATTTCTGACCTCTTCTTTAACTTTCAATTCATGGATAATTTCTTACAAGTTCAGATGGTCCAGGACTTGGAGACAAATAGGGGATGAGAAAGGTAGACCAAATGTCATGGCGTGTTCTGTGGCCTTTGTGTCTCATGGCATCTGGTAGAGATTTCTGTACTTGGACATCCCCCGAAACACATTTTAAGCTCAGTCTTGAGCCACAGGGCTTACATCCTAAATACCCATCACTTCCAAAGAAATGTTTTTGTCAGTAGCTTGACTGACTCTGAGGCGGATTGTTTCCATCATCAGTAGCCAAGTGAAGATCTGTTTTGCCTTTGCCTGTTGTGCTCTGTGAGCAAGAATTCCCAGTCTTTGACACAGGGAGGCATATTTATGACATTTGGCTTCTTTGTTCAACAGATTTTTCCTTTCTGTGTTTATGAGAGTTAGCATGAAACAGTGCTCTGATCTACTGGGTTCCTTTTCTTTGAAGCACTTTGTGTTCTTTGCATTTACTCTGGCCCTTGTTATGAGGAGCTAGAGGCATAGAAGCCCTGTTCTAGAGTTGCTTGACTGCTTTTATGTCCATTTATAAAAGCTTTCCAAATCAAGAGAATCATGTATTTGTTATTTATGGGTCCATGAAATACCCAAGTAATTAAAACTAGCCATTTTACCATTAATCAAGCATGGAAACCACAGTGTTTTGTGATGTACAGTCATTTCAACATCAGCCTACAGTTGCACAGGCCCATCTAATCGCCTGCATGGCAATACAATGAAATAGGTGCTGAGATTATATTGCTAGGCATCCAAATGTCTCATATTGTTTGGAGATGCACATGCTCTGGCCAACCCATAATATATTAAAGTTTTAAAGTTGTGCAAAAGAAACTCTTAAAATCAGATAGTAATAGTTAGCATCTGAAAAAGTGTATAACCTGTACCCAGCGTTAACATAAACACAAAAGAAAGTTACATTTTAGACAGGTTCACAACACAGTCAGAAAGCAGGACCTGACATTGCATATTCTCAATTTGCAAATGCATTCCTTTCTAAAAAGCTGCAATTAATTACAAACTAGTTTTGATGCCGTTTATTCTTTCCTTAAATATGGAGTGAATTCGCCTCATAAACTAATGAACCAAAGTGGAGCCAAATAGAGACCAGCTGGCTGGATAACTCAGTAATTTTATCCACATGATTGACTTTATGATTCTTTCACTGAAGTAACTAGTTTTTATTTTTGCAATCAGCACCAATGACAATTTGGGAGGGGGTGGGGAATTATTAAAATCTGGAGAAAGAAGAGGCACTGATTATTTGATGTGGAACAGCACATTCCTCCACACACTTCTCCAGTATCATAGGTGCTGGATTCCAGGTCTCTCTGGCTTCCAAAGTAACACACTTAGTTGCCACAGAGACATAATAAGCAACCAATGCCCAAATAATCATTACAGATACTCCATTAACAGCATCTAACTGTGTGGCTTTTAACCATACAAATTGTTTTTTGACAGCTTGTAACCTTTTCAAATACTTTCCTTTGGACATTACACTACACTCAGATCTAATTTTAACTTTTGCTTTGTCTATAATTTATGAGTTTCTTTGGAGCTGCATAATGTATTTGAGGAGAAAGGATACATTCAAATAAAAGCTAAAAACAAAATCAATTACTGTTTTAATCCATGAAACCTTTGCTCACTGGGAGATCACTACAATAGGATGAAACAAAAAGAAGGGAGGGAAGGACCTAAATGATCTAGAATTCCCTTAGAAGCTGTTTTAAAACAAGCAGGTTTAACCTATTTAAATAGGATCATAGCTGAACAGAAATGAAATATATCACTGGTACATGGAAAAGTTTCTCTTAAGATGCATGAAATTTCACAACATACAAATTTTAAAATTATAAAATGGCTTAATGAGGCTGTCAGTGAAGAGCTAAAATATACAACACTCCTTTAGCAGTGAAAATCTCCAGGTTTGCAATTTCCAGATACTGGAATCCATCCACTCAAGAAAAAGGAAGCATATCATTCCAAAAGTTGGTCCAAAAAAAAAATGGATACATCTTAAAGATCATAGATCACAAATGGTTGGCACTAAAAGGAACTTTAGAAATCGTCTGTTCAGGCTCAAACTGAAGCCTAGTGGCCGGCTTTGTTCTTAACTGTTCTCTCCTCTCGCTCCCCACACCCAGACAATCGGCAAGTCCAGCCTGCTCTATCGCAGGAATCACATTCATCCCTGGCCACACCCTCAGCTCTTAAACACTAGCACCTCTCACTGGGACTGCTGCCACAGGACATTAAAGCAGGGGACAGCAAACTGAAGCTCACAATCCCCCTTTGCTGCCTCTTTTTGTATGTCCTGAAAGCTAAGAATAGTTTTTACATTTTTTAATTATTATAAAAAACAAAGGAATAATAATATTGTATGGCATGTGAAATTATATGAAATTCAAATTCCAGTGTCCCTCAATAAAGTTTTACTGGAACACAGCCATGGTAAGTCTTTCATGTATTGCCTATGACTGCTTTTGCTTTACAAGAGCAGAACTGAGTCACTGAGACAGAGACTGCATGGCCCACAGAGCCTAACGTACTTACTCTCTGGCTCTTTACAGAAAATGTTTACTGACTTTTGTCTTATCAGTCCCCTATATCACACTTTCTGTGCCATAGTCATTTAAAGAAATGACACAGCATAGCAACCAGTGATCCTTTTCAAACAAATCAACTCCCGTCATTTTGTGTTTAAAACTCTTATATGCTCTGCTGTCCAATATGGCAGCCACTAGCCACATGTGCCTGTTGAACACTTGAAAAGTGTCTAGCGCAACTGACCAGCTGGATTTTTATTTTTGTTTAATTTCAATTAATTAAGTTTTAAAAATGGATAATTCAATTATTGGAAAGCATTTGACTATGTTTGGAATAACCTGGCTATGTGAATGTACTATATCAATTGAAGATTTTAGGAAGTCTCAGTGCAGGTCAAGTATTCCCAATGAAAATTTTGGATCCAAATTGGAATGCGCTAAAAATGTAAAATACACACAGGGGTTTCAAGACTTAATCTAAAAAACAGAGAATGTAAAATAGCCCACTAATAATTTTAATGGTGATTACAAGTTGAAATAAATAAGTTAAATGACATATCTTATTAAATCTAATTTATCTGTTGTTTGGGTTTTTTTTTTTTTACTTTTAATTGAGGCTACTAGACAATTTAAAATTACATGTGTGGCTTGCATTGTATTTCTGTTGAACAACAAATGCTGCTCTAATGAGTTTACATGGCAATAAGAATAAATTCAAAGTTTTCTTACAATGTCAACGAGGTCTTGTGTGGCCCCTGCCCACCTCTTTAATCACATCTCCTGTCACTCTCCTTTCGCTCTTCATAGCAGTCCCTCAAAGACACTAAACTAATTTTTGCCTTAGAATCTTTCTTTGCACCAACTCTGCCTTCTCTCTGGGAACAGCTGCCCTACATCCTCTTTCTCACCCTTCAGTACAGCTTAAACGTCAGCCTCCTCAGAGAGGCCTTCCCTAATCCACCCCCAGTCACTTTCTTGAATTCAACCTAAGGTTCTTCTCTCCATAACTATTATCAGTATCTGGAATTTTCTTCTGTATTAATTTACATTTCTCTTGACCGTCTCCATTCCCTCCATATTCCCCACCCCAACACACAAAGAGCGGGAACCTTGTCAGTGTTGTTCACTGCCCCATCTCTAACACTTCAAACAATGCCTAGTGCTCAATAAATATTTCAGTGACTGGCCCTTTGTTTTACAGATGTGAAAAACTAAGACACAGAGCAGTTAAAAGATCTAATGACAGAACTCAGAATGGAACACAGGTCTCCTACTTCTAGACTCATGTTTTTGAGGAGATCCGTGGATCAGCATCTCTCCTGGTCAGGACCACAGAGGCCTTCCACCCGCTGTGTGAAGCCTCGTTGGATGCCAGCTTCAAAAGCAAAAGGTCAGCTAACCCAACCATTTATTTTACCCATGGGCACCTAAAAACTTCTCAGTAGCTTTATCTGCTCTCTAAATTCCTTGCCAGATTGTTAGCAGCTTTTGAGATTGCTTCTCAGATGACTTTTTCCTCTGGGCATGGGAAATAATCACCAAAATTAAAGAAGGAAATCAGTGGCATTTAGCCTCTCTCTCTCACCAAAGTGACAGTCACAAAACAGAAAGAACTGGGTCATAAGGATGGCAAAAAGGCAAATTAAATATTCTGAAGTAGCAGCACAACCACTACCAATGAAGTTGGGCGGAAAAGTAAACACTAGGGGTCAGGATGCCCTTCCTCTTTTATCTTTTTCATTTTCCCCTTTCGTTAATTAGCATTCAAACTATGTTCGTGTTCCTGCAAATTAAGCAACAGCCCAAAGGGTGATATTTGAAGGCAATGTGGAAAAATATTACACATTTCGTTTCTTAGTTAAAGTCTAAAATGTCAGTCTTTGTAACACCATATATTTAGACTTTAATCCTTGCGTAAGATCAGATACCTCTAATAGAAACATCATTGGTACCTTCATTTAAGTGAAAGATGTTAGGAGAAAAGAATGAGGGGAGGTGTTTGCCTTGTAGTTGTGCTTATGGGTAGACATATACTATGGTGAGTATATTGTAGTCAAAGGTCATAAACGTCCCAATAAAAGCCTTTTATTTAAATTCTCATTTACTACCAGTTAATGAGCTCAGATTTCTCTCCTCCTTTATTTTTTCACTCGTCACTAGGGAAGAATGTTTTTATTACTTTGACCTTCATGTGCATTTATCAAGCATCTTTTGAGAATGTGTCATGTGAATTGTGCGATCAGGTGTGTTCAGCAACAGAAGCAGAGGTGTAGAGTTGGGGGTGAACATAGTAAGATGGAGCTATCAGTGAGCAAACTGTCCTGGCTAAAGTGGAGGCTTTATTGTATGTCAAAGGAGTGGGATATATAACTAAATAGATGTGGTGAGCAGACTTTAAATGTCAGGTTGAGGTGTTGGAACTTTATTCTGTCAGTAACATGAAACTACTAGAAATTTTATTATATGAATAAAATATTATTCATTGCATGAAATGACATATTTAGGAGTATATTAATGACTAGCATTTATTCAGCACTATGTTCTAGATGCTACTTCTAAGCACTTTACATGCTTATACATTGTTCAGTCCTCACAATTACCCTATAAAAGTAGGTCGAACCTTTGTTATTCCTATTTTACAGATGAGGAAAATGAGATACAGATAAATAACTTGCCCACTGTCACACAGCTATTGTGTGGCAAAGCCAGGGTTCAAACCCAGGCCATCTGTGTCCAGAGCTCTTAAGAAGAATGTCAGAGCAATATGGCAGAATGGCCAAAGGAATAGCTGCTACTAGGCTACATGGAGTCTTTAACAAAGTCAGAAAAGAAGCCACCTCTGGGTGAGGTCAGCAAAAGTGTTGGTGATTGGATGGCCTGCTATCTTTGTATGTGTTTCAAAAGGTGACCCTTCCTCTGGGCAGACACAGCCTCCATCTTTGGCTTGGGGAACAACAAGGCTAGACTTCAGCCCTCATTTGTCCCCATCTTATAGACTGTTGAATATCTGATTTTCAATTAAATTGCTGAACTAGATTAAACCTTCATGTCCCCATACCATCAGTACAGTCAGTTCTATACCACAAAGGGTTGTTTCAAAGTTGAATTTTTGTGAATCTGAGCATGAGTGTGTGTGTGTGCATATTGTGCACATGCACAAAAGCAAAAAAGAAGAGTTAGAGTTCCACATTAGGACTGATGCCAGAACAAGATCAAAGAACAGCCACAAAGTCTTGGAGTTGAGAACATGAATCCCTGATGAAATCTTTCAGGAATTAACAAAAATCTTCATTAAAGATGAAAGGTCATCCAAGGTCCTCAGAAATTCTGCTGGGGATTCAAATTCACGTAGATCTTAGGAGGCAGGGAGATCTCAGCTGTAATCTCAGTCACATTACTAATAATTTTAATTGGGGTGGGGGAAGGGATCCAGAAGAGTTCCATGGAGTAAATGACCTTAAATCATGCTAGGATTTGCCTACTAAGATACACAACTTCATTTAGGTACATATAAACTGTATTAAGAAATCCATGTGCTTTTCCAAAACAGGACACCACACACTTTGGAGGCCCAGATTCGCATTGCTTTTCTATCCTTGCTAGATTTGCATACGTATTCCTACCCTTGAGCTCAGGGCCTCTTGTCCCAGTCCTAGTGAAGAGTGCATGAAATTGCCTGCCTCCAAAGACCAAGGTTCAAGATCAAGTCAATCATGATGTCCATTGTTAGTTGTTCCCACCCATCTCCTCTTGACCAGACATTCTCTGACTCCATTGCCCAAAACTTGAGTGCCCAGGTTCTTAGAACCATCTCCTGCACCTCTGCAACCTCCAGCCAGACCTCGTTTACATGTAACCCCACCTGCCTTGATGACACATTGCTAAAGACCACTGCATACCTCCTTATTCTTTCCTACCTAATTCAAATTTCACTCATAAATCTGATCAGGAAAATCAGAATCTGCCTCCTCTTCATAATCTCTGGTTTTGTCTGAATTCTTTCACTCTGAGCCCTAAAAGTAATTTCCCATCAAAATTTTCTGCTTGCTTTAAAACTCTAGACTTCGAGCAGAAATAACTACTTAGACTTCACCCGAGGTTAGATCATAAACTGCCTAAAATTTAAAATTAAAGTATGACCCAAATAATTTATTTATTACGATATCAACGTACCTGTCCCCTGAATCCCTTAAGGAACCTAAGTTCAAGTTCACTGTGTTAACGTAGTCCAAACAAGAAAGCCACAAAGTTTTATTTATTTTAATTGAGAAAACTTTTCTTTAAAAATAAAAAAAGTGTTAAGGGGGTACAGTGCAGGTTTTGTTGCTTGATGCTGAGGTTTGGGCTTCTATTGATCCCATTGCCCAAGGAATGAACATAGCACCCAATAGGTAGTTTCCAACACTTGCATCTCTCCCCTGCCACCACCATTTAGAATTCCCAGTGTTTATTGTTCTCATCTTTGTGTTCATGTGTACCCAATGTTTAGCTCCCACTTATAAATGAGAACATGCAGTATTTGGTTTTCTGTTTCTGCATTAATTTGCTTAGAGTAATGTCCTTAAACTGCATCCATGTTGCTGCAAAGGACATAATTTCATTCTTTTTTATGGCTGTGTAGTATTCCATCGTGTAAGTGTACCACGTTTTATCTAATCCACCATTGATGGGTCACATGGGCTGGTTTCGTGTCTTTGAAAAGCCACAAAGTTTTAAAGAACAACAGGTTATTAACCTTAAGCAGCTCGTGAATGGGCTTCAGGGGATCTATAAGCTGTCTGAGATAGTGTAAAGTGTGTTTATGTGTATGTATGTCTGTGTGTGCATTTTTCTGAAGAGGGAGTCTGTAGATTTTATCAAAATTTCAAAGGGGTCAGTGAGCCATAAAATTTTAAGGTACACTGTCTGGTCTATCAACTACAGTCCCTCCAGATAGTTGGTGCCCTAGTATATATCTTTGCCTCTGCAGAAAAGCTAAAATACTTGGCAAGTTGCAAGTTTTCTGACTTTCTTATTATTTTTTAGTTTGTAATACTAAAAAATACTTGAAAGAATTAACAAATTCCAAGTCACCATTGCTGACAGTCTTAAAACACCTAAATATGACTTTGAAAAATTAGAAAATTTTTTTCGTAATTACACTAGACATTAATACTCTACTAGTAAAGAATTAAGAAAAATATTTAAATATATTCACACACATAATAGACTTGTTACTTAAAAATTGATAAAACGTTCAGATAACCATGCTTTTCTGTAATCTTATAGTTTTTAAATTAGATTCCATTCATAAACTACATAGTGGGACATTCTTATGGTGTGAGAACGCAAGACAGGACTATCATCTGCAACGTGGGCTAATCCTAGCAGGTTTTCACAGTATGCATTTGGTATATCTGAATCCAGATGATAAAATGCTCTTGTATAATAGGTCTTCTTTACCATTGTATCAAAAAATCCTACTGTTCCTCCACAAAGAATTCATTCTGGTTGAGATAATGTCAATATCTTAGGCACACATAGAAGCGCTGTTTATTCTATTAAATTGGAAAGGCTATTGGTCATGCAAACCTAGTCAAATCTCAACTTATATCCAATTTTGCCAACCCACTGGGGTTACCTGAATCACAGTCAGTCAGAACAAATACAGGTTTTTAGACAGCAAAACTACTCCCCAACCAATACTATATAATTGAGTCTTTTTCCACTGAGGTTGACTAGGTTATGATATTAACTGAGAAGTTTCTATCTCTCTCTCTATCATATATCTACCCATCTGTCTATCTAACTATCTCTATCTGTCCCCCCCCCCTCTCTCTCTCTCTTCCTCCTTCCTACCACCAATTGCATCACTCTGACCCCCTCTTCTGCTTCTCTTCTCCACCCATATAAGACCCTTTTGATTACACTGGGCCTAGGGCCTAACTGGATAATCTTGCTCCGTTAAGGTCAGCTGATTAATAACCTTAATTCCATTTGCACTTATTTTTTTTCACCATATAAGGTAATATATTCACAGGTTGTGGGGACTACAGACATGGACATCTTTGGGGGCCATAATTCTGCCTGCCACACCTCCTGAGGCCTAGTCGTGTGTTCTGATATATTATCTATTTGTTCTTCAAAAGAGGACATAAACATATTGCTTACCTCACACCCCCTAAAAGGACGACACGCTGCTTCACCTCAGACTTGATTCCCTATGTAAGGGGACACAATTACTTCATTTGGAAACTGATTTTTTATTTCCGAGTACTTCAGAATCATAAAGCAGCTTTGAAGAAGAAAGAAAATCTGATAATTTAGTAGCAGAGTTAGGTATATTTTCATAAAAATAACATAGACCTGAAGAACATTTCCAAATATATGAGACTCAAAAGAGCAACTTAATTTGTTGCAGCCTTCCCTGGTTCCTAAGCAAATGCATCCATGTTGATGTTGTGAGTACAAGGGAAGTTATGGTTATGTTTTCTGGGTCCTATCATATGACTATGGTGTATATACACACCGCAAGCATGTGCAGACCCAGGTTGGAAGACGCATTTAGCACCTACCTTCTTTTAAGGGCATAGGCGAACTTTATGAATATTAATTTCAGTCAGGATCACTATTTGCAGAAGTTTTTCTCTTACCAAGTAGAGGCTGTCACTCAGTAAGTGCATTATTACTCAAATGAGCAGGCCAAGTAAAGTGCATTTGAGTTTCTATGAGAATACATCACCAAACAAAGCAGGGGCTGTACAAGCAGAAGGTGTGTGCAGCAAAGGCCTATTAAGGGGATACAATTTTCCCATGAACTCTTTGCCCATTATATAATAATCACAGCTGTATGCTGTTGGAAAAAAGATTCAGCTTCTCCATATAATAAAATTATACCTAGGCATGCAGAAAATCTCCTAAAATCACATAGAGGAAAAAAATATAACTTTCATTAAACATTAATGCCAACACTCAAGCATTAACCACAACAATTTGTTACACTAAAAATAAGGAAGTCAAAATGCTGAAAGTGGAAAATATAGTCCTGAGTCTTTGGCCACATTATCCAGCCGCTTCATTTTTGTTGCCATTAAAAAGTTAGGATTCCCAAAGCTTTATCAATTTCTAAATTTTACACAAACCTCAAACCACCTTAATATTCTAAATTTATTTCTGCAGTCTTTTACATTTTAGAAAACTTTTTCTAATCGCAAAGTTCAAGAACCACTTTCCTGACTCACTCACCTGCTATCACCTATATAGTTAGTATGGGATGACTCCCCTTTTTCATACACCTACTTGAAGGCACACACACACACATACACACACACACACACACACACACACGCATATGCATACAGGCAAGGTAACTCCCTTCAGGACCTGCCTTGCAGAAGGAAAAACCGAACACATTACCTGGAATGAAATGAGACTGGAATTATAAATTATGGAGACAAAATCATTGCTATTGCCTAAACTCGTCGAGGGTTCCAAGTGAGAGACAACATTGAGGTTTTAATTTTTTTTTTTTTTTAAACAGAGTTTCGCTCTGTCGCCCAGGCTGGAGTGCAGTGGCACTATCTCAGCTCACTGCAACCTCTGCCTCTCAGGCTCAAGCGATTCTTCTGCCTTAGTCTCCTGAGTAGTTGGGGTTACAGATGCCTGCCACCATGCTTGGCTAATTTTTGTGTTTTTAGGAGAGACGGGGTTTTACCATGTTGTTCAGGCTGGTCTCAAACTCCTTACCTCAGGTGATCCGCCCACCTTGGCCTCCCGTAGAGCTGGTATTACAGGTGTGAGCCACCGTGCCTGGCCAAGGTCCTTTGTTCTTTTTTTTTTTTTTTTTTTTGCATAAATAATTAACTCTCTAGAAAGCTATGTAGGCTTTTCATCTACATGTATTTCCATTAATGTAATTGTTTGAACTTACATATGCATGATTTTTTTAGCAAAAAATGAAGTTTTAATTATTTTATTGGAACTATCAATCCCCAGAAAACTTCAAGAACCACCATTACAGCTGCATTTCAGATTATTCTTAATGTGCATACTGATTCAATAATAGAAGCTCACCTGAAAGTCTGATGGGTTGTGCTCTTGTTGATTTTGCCATTCCCACAATCTATTGGCTTCTTTATTTGACTAAGAGATTAGTTTAATGAATGTATTCTCATTAGGGATTTTTTTTTTTTTTTTTACCATATCCACAGGGTATGAGTTAAGTTTGGAGAGTGCTGATTGTTCACTTGTGGTGGAAGTTTGACTAGAAGGAGCCTGGGCATACACCAACCACAACACAAAGAAAAGATATTTCCCAAAGAGTTCAAGTAACCCCAAATTCTATTCAATGTTCTTCCTTACAGTAAATAGTTCATGATGAGGTTGATCAGAATTCATTAGGTAGTAACACTGTTCTCTTTTCATGTTCCCCTCCTAATGTGGAAGCATCATTTGCAGCCACAGAACGTAAAGTAATGAGTTGTTTTACCAATAGCTAGAATGAATTTTTTCTTATTCTAATACACTGTCTAGCATAAATCTCTTTACAGACCAGTGGTATTTTCAAAACAGCTATCTATGGTTAGATGTAGATGGGATGCTAAATTAGCTTGCATGGGAACTCATATCAAAAAGTATTTTCATTAAGCTTAAGGAACAGAAACTCTTCAATGTAAAGGACATACTTCACCCAAGCTAAAGGAGAAAGTTGCCTTTGAGTCAGTTTGCTCGGGAATATAGAAGAGCGAACCACTCTGAGCAGAGTAAACGTGCTTTTTCTTACTTAGTGATGCATTTGTGGCTGTCTGGAAAACCAGGAGCAGACTAGTGATACAGTATTTCTCAAACACACACAGGGAAGGATGCCTGAGGCTGCGCTGTGATCACCATGCAAACCAAGTCTGAGCAGATACAGGCCTTGGAAACGGAACACAATTCATTCAAAGAAATACTCCAATTCTAATGGCCTCATAGAAAGTATAAAATGCAGTTGAATCTTAAATCAGTTTTACATGATTCACAACTTATAGCTCTATCTCTAACCTGCCCCCTTCTCCAAGAACATGATTTTAAATAACAATTTCAGTTTAGATTTTAATATTCCTTCTGTTGGACTTTACCCTAATGAAATTTAAATTACTAAAAGCAAACAGACCCACTGTTTTTAGCCCTCATCCTTCTGGTGGTATTTTGTGTTTTAGGTTTATTTATTTTTCTGAAATCAATGGAATAGACCCATACTATCTGATTTTCTCTTTGCCATAAAAAAGAAACCAATATATGTTTCTCACACATAAATTAGACGCTGATCTTGGGATATGCAACTATTAGAAAACTCCACATCAACTAAACCAAATTATTCACAACAAGGAAAGTGATGGAGAAAAAGTTTTTTTAGATATGCCTCTGATACTTTCATGACTGACTAATTTATAAGAAAAATCCTACTCATAACAGCTAAAGAAAAATGATTTTATTATAAATAAAGTATACTATTACTTCAATATCATATAGAGCTTACAATCTTTGATTTACAGTTTTTCTCAGAGTCTGTTTAAACTTTGAGCATCTGCAATGTTGGTCTCTCATTTTATTTTGTTAAAATCTATTCATTCTCTTACACCCCACGGGAAATTTCTCATCTTCCTTTGCATACACAGGTCCAAATATAATTCTGGCCCTTTCCATCATCTCAAATAAATAAATTAAAACCTCATATGTAAATCTATTGCAGCTGAAAGAAGACTGGGGGCAGGGAAGAACAAAGCATACATGCATCACGGAAAAAGACATTATAAATAAAAAGCAAATTAACAGTAGTGAGATATTTGTCCTTTACAACCAATGCATTTTGTTAAACTGAGGGCCTGTCAAAATATATAATATGACTTAAAAGAAAGTAAAATATTCCGATACATGGTGAACACATTTCTAAAACCTGTTTCTCAAGGAAATTCATGAAAACTAATGTTTAATTTTTCTTACAGTACCTTGTGACCCAAATTCCTTCACAAAAGAACTCTGCCATACTTTCAGAATGGAAAGCAAGAACTTTTGTTTATTCCAGTTCTTCTCTAACCGTGGCAAATATAAAGCATTGACTGAATTGTTATAGTATTTATTCCCTCAAAAGAAAACAAAAGGAGGCTGGGTGCGGTGGCTCACGCCTGTAATCCCAGCACTTTGGGAGGCCGAGGCGGGCGGATCACGAGGTCAGGAGATCGAGACCATCCTGGCTAACATGGTGAAGCCCCGTCTCTACTAAAAATACAAAAAAGTTAGCCGGGCGTGGTGGCAGGTGCCTGTAGTCCCAGCTACTCGGGAGGCTGAGGCACGAGAATGGCGTGAGACGGAGAGGCGGAGCTTGCAGTGAGCCGAGATGGCGCCACTGCACTCCAGCCTGGGCGACAGAGCGAGACTCTGTCTCAAAAAAAAAAAAAAAAAAAAAAAGGAAAGTACACTCTTTAGCAAGGCAAAAAAAAAAGTCACAAGTAAATTTTAGACATTTTCTGTGACTGAGGCTTACAAAGTGGCATCCAAGTGAATTTCCAAGTGACGTTCCTCTTTATGACTCTGTAGGTAAACAAAGTCCTTCTACCACACAAGTGAAAGCAGCAGCAGCATCTCTATTCATAGACTACCTTTAAGGAACTGCTAAGAGGCCAGACTCCAGCCTACCTCAGTGGTTCCCCAAAACTGGTTGCACATGAGAGCCGTCTGGGGAGATTTTTTAAATGCACATGCCCTGGTCACACTCCCTAGCGATTCATATTTAATACAACTAGATTGGAGGCCCAGGAAGTTGAATTTTTTAAGGACGCAAATGAATTTGATCAACCAGGCTTGAAATCATCAATAGTACTAGATGAGCATACTATTCCACTTATTGACAAAGCAGCCATAATTGACACTAATTGGTTATATCTACTCCTGCAAACTCTCTTTTATTTACATTTAAATTTTTATTTTTATGATTTTTTAGTATATTTTTATTTCAATAGCTTTTGGAGTACAAGTGGTTTTTGGTTACATGGATGAATTGTGTAGTGGTGAAGTCTAAGACTTTAGTTCACCTGTCACCCAAGTAGTATATGTTGTACTTACTATACATTTTGTAATCCCTCACTTCCCTGTCACTCTCTCCACTTCTAGGTCGCCAAAGTCCATTACATCACTGCATGACTTTGTATACCTATAGCTTAGCTCCCACTTATAAGTGAGAACATACGGTATTTGGTTTTCCATTCCTGAGTTACTTCACTTAGAATAATGGCCTACAGCTCAATCCAAGTTGCTGCAAAAGACATTATTTCATTTTTTTATGGCTGAGTAGTATTCCATGGTGTATACATGCCAAATTGTCTTTATCTGCTCATTGGTCAATGAGCACTTATGTTGATTCCCTATCTTTGCAATTGTGAATTGTGCTGCAATAAACACATGTGTGAAGGTGTTGTTTTGGTATAATGGCTTATTTTCCTTTAGGCAGATACGCAGTAGTGGGATTGCTGGATCAAATGGTAGATCTACTTTTAGTTCTTGGAGAAATCTCCACACTGTTTCCATAGAGGTTGTACTAATTTACATTCCCAGAAGCAGTATATAAGCATTCCTTTTTACCATATCCATATCAAGATCTATTTGATATCTACTTTGATCATCTACTTTTTAATAGTGGCCATTCTGGTGGGGGGAAGCTGTTACCTCATTGTGGTTTTAATTTGCATTTCCCTGATGATTTGTGATGTTGAGCATTTTTATATGTTTCTTGGCTATTTTTATATCTTCTTTTAAGAAATATCTATTCATGTCATTTGCCCACTTTTTGATGGAATTATTTAGGGTTTATTTCCCGCTGATTTGTTTGAGTTCCTTGTAAATTCTGGATATTAGTGCTTTGTTGGATGCATAGTTTGCAGATACTTTCTCCCATTCTGTGAGTTGTCTGTTTAATGATTATTTCTTTTGCAGTGCAGAAATTTTTTTGTTTAATTAGGTCCCATTTGTTTATTTATGCTTTTGTTGCATTTCCTTTTGGGGTCCTAGTCATAAATTATTTGCCTAGGCCAATATCCAGGAGACCAATAGCCTAGGAGTTTTTCCTAGGTTTTCTTCTAGAATTTTTATGATTTCAAGTCTTACATTTAAGTCTTTGACCCATCTTGAGTTGATTTTTGTATATGGTGAGAGATAAGGATCCAGTTGCATTCTTCTACATGTGGCTATCCAGTTTTCCCAGCACCATTTATTAAATAGGGTGTCCTTTCCCCAATTTATGTTTTGTATGCTTTGTCAATTCATTGTAAGCATTTGGCTTTATTTCTGGGTTCTCTATTTCATTAGTCTATATATGTACTTTTATACCAGAACCATGCTGTTTTGGTGACTATAGCTTTGTAGTATAATTTGAAGTCAGATAATGTGATGCCTGCAGATTTGCTCTTTTTGCTTAGAATTGCTTTGTCTATTTGGGCCCTTTTTTTGGTTTCATATGAATTTTAGGATTGTTTTTTCTAATTCTGTGAAAAATAATGTTGGTATTTTGATGTAAATTGTATTGAATCTGTAGATTGCTTTGGTCAGTGTGGTCATTTTCATATTGAATCTTCCATTCCATGAGCATAGGATGTATTTCCATTTGTTCGTGTCATCTATTATTTCTTTCAGGAGTGTTTTATAGTTCTCCTTGTAGAGATCTTTCACCTCATTTGTTAAGTATATTCCTAGATATGTTAATTTTTTGCAACTACTATAAAAGGGATTGAGTTCTTGGTTTGATTCTCAGCTTGGTCGTTGCTGGTGTATAGCAGTGCTATTGATTCGTATACATTGATTTTGTAACCTGAGACTTTACTGAATTCATTTATCAAATCAAGAAGTCTTTTGGAGAAGACTAGGGTTTTCTGGGCATACAATCATATCATCGGCAAATAGAGGTAGTTTGACCTCCTCTTTTCCTGTCTGGATGCTTTTTATTTTTTTCTCTTGCCTGCTTGTTCTGGATAGGACTTTCAGTACTATGTTGAATAGAAGTGGTGAAAGTGGGCATGTTTGTCTTGTTACAGTTCTCGGGGGAATGCTTTCAACTTTTCCTCATTCAGTATGATGTTGGCTTAGGGTTTGTCATATATGGCTTTTGTTATTTTGAGGTATCTACCTTCTATGCTTAGTTTGTTGGGAGTTTTTATCATAAAATTGTGCTACATTTTATTGAATGCTTTGACTGCATCTATTGAGATGATCATATGGTTTTTGCTTTTAAATCTGTTTATGTGCTATATCACATTTATTGACTGTGTTTGTTAAATCATCTGCGTTCCTGGGATGAAACCCACTTGATCATGGTGTATTATCTTTTTGATGTCTTGTCGGATTTGGTTTGCTAATATTTTCTTGAGAAATTTTTTATCTTTGTTCATCAAGTTTATTGGTCTGTAATTTTCTTTTTTGTTGTTGTTATGTTTTTTCTGGATTTTGGTATCAGGGTGATACTGGCTTCATAGAATGAGTTGCAGAGGATTCCCTCTTTCTCTTTTGGAATAGTTTCAGTGGGATTGATGTCAATTCTTCCTTGAATGTCTGGTAGAATTCAGCTATGAATCTATCTGGCCCCAGCCTTTTTTGTTGTTGGCAATTTTTTTTTTGAGATGGAGTCTCACTATGTTGCCCAGGCTGGAGTGCAGTGGCATGATCTCAGCTCACCACAACCTCTGCCTCCCAGGTTCAAGTGATTCTCCTGCCTCAGCCTCCCGAGTAACTGGGACTACAGGTGTGCACCACCATGCCTGGCTAATTTTTGTATTTTTAGTAGAGGTGGGGTTTCAGTATGTTGGTCAAGCTGGTCTCAAACTCCTGACCTCACAATCCACCCACCTCAGCCTCCCAAAGTGCTGGGATTACAGACATGAGCCACCACGCCTGGCCTGGCAATTTTTTTTATTACTGATTCAATCTCACTGCTTGTTATTATTCTGTTCAGGATTTCTGTTTCTTCCTGATTCAGTTCAGAAGGGTTATATATTTCCAGCAATTTATTCATTTCTTCTAGATTTTCTCATTTCTGTGCATATAGGTGTTCGTGGGAGACTTGAATGATATTTTGCATTTCTGTGGTGTGGTGTCAGTTGTAATATCTCCATTTTCATTTCCAATTGAACTTATTTGAATTTTCTCCCTCCTTTTGGTTAATGTAGCTAATGGTCTATAAACTTTGTTTATCTTTTCAAATAACCAACTTTTTGTTTCATTGTTCTCTGGGGATTTTTCAATTTCATTTAGTTCTGTTATGATCTTCATTATTGTTTTTCTTCTGCTAGCTTGGGGTTTGGTTTGTTCTTGTTTTTCTAATTCTATGAGGTATGACATAAGGTTCTTAATTTGGGATCTTTCAGACTTTTTCTTAGCACTGCTTTTGCTATATTCCAGAGGTTTTAATAACTTGTGTCACTATTATCATTCATTTCAAAGAATTTTTAAATTTTCTTCTTGACTTCACTGTTAACCCAAAAATCATTCAGGAGCAGATTTTTCAATTTCCATGCATTTGTATCATTTTGAGCGTTCTTTTTGGAGTTGATTTCTAGTTTTAATGCACTGTGTTCTGAGAAGATACTTGATATGATTTTGATTTTTTAAAATTTATTGAGACCTATTTTGTAGCCTATAATATGGTCTGTCTTGGAGACTATTCCATGTGCTTAAGAGAAGAATGTGTATTCTGAAGTTGTTGGGTAGAATGTTCTATGAATATCTGTTAGGTCCATTTCTTCTAGAATGTAGTTTAAGTCCTTTGTTTCTTTATTGACTTTCTGCCTCAGTGATCTCTCTAGTGCTGTCAGTGGAGTATTGAAGTTCCCCACTATTATTATACTCCTATTTCTTTCCTTTGGTCTAGTAGTAATTGTTTTAAGAATCTGGAAGCTCCAGAGTTAGGTGCTACATATATTTAGGATTGTAATAATTTCCTGTTGGATTCTTTTATCATTATATAACGATCTTCTTTGTCTTTTTTTTTTTACTGTTGTTGCTTTAAAGTCTGTTTTATCTTACATAAGAATAGCTATTCCTGCTAGCTTTTGGTTTCCATTTGCATGAAATATCTTTTTCCACCCCTTTACCTTGAGTTTATAAGAATCCTTATGTATTAAGTGAATATCTTATAGGCAGTAGATATTTGGTTTTTGATTTTTTTTATCAATTCTGCCAATCTGTATCTTTTAAGTGGAGTGTTTAGACCATTTATATTCCACGTTAATGTTGAGATGTGAGGTACTGTTCCAGTCATCATGTTGGTTGTTACCTAGATATTTTTTTTCATTGTGTTATTGTTTTATAGGCCCTGTGAGTTTTATATTTTCAAGAGGTTCTATTTTGGTGCATACTGACCTTTGTTTGCAAGATTTAGAACTCCCTTTAGCATTTCTTGTAGGACTTGTCTTGTAGTGACAAATTCCCTCTGCATTTGTTTGTCTGAAAGACTTTATTTCTCCTACACTTATAAAAGTTAATTTGGCCAGATACAAAATTCTTGGCTGACAGTTATTCTGTTTAAGGAGGCTAATGATAGAACCCCATCTTCTGGCTTATAAGGTTTCTGCTAAGAAGTCTGCTGTTAGTCTGATGGGTTTTCCTTTATAGGTTACCTGATGCTTTTGTCTCACTGCTTTTAGAGTACTTTCCTTCATGTTGACGTTAGGTAGTCTGATGACTATATCCCTTAGTGATGTCCTTTTTGCAATAAATCTCCCAGGAGTTCTTTGAGCTTCTTGTAATTGGATATCTAATTCTCTAGCAAGGCTAGAGGAGTTTTCTCAATTATTCCCTTAAATAAATTTTCCAAACTTTTTGCTTTTGTTTCTCCCTCAGGAACACCATTGATCCTTAGGTTTGACCATTTTATATAATCCCATATTTCTTGGAGACTTTGTTCATTTCTTTTGATTTTTTTTTCTTTATTTTTGTCTGTTTGGTTTAATTTGAAAACTTCATTTCTGAGCTCTGAGATATTTTCTTCTACTTGGTCTAGTCTATTGTTAAAACTTTTCGTTGCATTTTGTAATTCCCTGAATTTGTCTTTCATTTCCAGAAGTTCTGATTGGATTGTCTTTAAAATATCTATCTCTTCAGAAAAATTTTAATTCATATCCTGAATTGTTCTTTTTAATTTCTTTATGTTGGTTTTCACCTTTCTCTTGTATCTCCTTGAATAGCTTAATAATCAACCTCTTGAATTCTTTATCTGGTATTTCAAAGATTTTATCTTATTTTGTAGCCATTGCTGGAGAGCTAGTGTGATCTTCTGGGAATGTTATGGCATCCTGTTTTGTCATATTGCCAGAATAATATTTCTGGTTCCTTCTCATTTCAGTAGACTATTTCTTCTAATTATTCTGGAGTTTACTTTTTACTCTACTGTGTTTTTTTTAATTTCTTCCCCTTTAAGAATGCAGCTTTAATGTTTATAGTTCATTGTAGCCTAATTTGTCTCTTGTTGCATTCAAGGATGAAGACTTTATATGAGTTCCTTAGTTATAGGCAGTCTTTGTATGATGGCTTTCTCAAATGCTTGTTGTTGTAGCAATGTGCTCAGTGTGTGAGCAGGTTCACTGTCTGGTTTGGGGTTGGAATGACAGAGGTCCCTTGAAGCTTCCTTATACCCCAGTGGTCTGCATTGATTGATTTATTTATTTTTCCCCAGTATTTTATTTACTAGTATGAACAGTTCAGCCTTCATGCCAGTAGTGGAGGTGTCCATGGGTAAAAATTGGTTGTGACTAAAGCAGGTGGCTAAATGCAATACTGATGGTAGGCCGAGGTCTCAGCCTTGACAGAGGCAGCTGGGGGAGCTCTCAGTGAAATGCACTGAAGTCTTACCAGAAATAAGGATGGGAACCACCTCAGCTGCCCTTCCAGGCCAGTAGAAAGGTGATCCACCTCTTAGTCACACTCCTGACCCAGTGTTCTGGCTATGCAGATCGAACAGGCACTTCTTTTCATTTGCAGGTATGTCAATGTTCCATAAAGAGAGGATCGTGACTCTCCCCCTGTGCAAGTCTGGAGCTGGAGAGCACTCTTTCTGTGGGATGCAGTCACCCTGAAATGAAACTCTCTCTTTAGTAGCTTTTACTTGAGAAGATTCCCATATGCCCTACCTACTTATTGTCATGCCTTCATTATATTAAAAAAAAAAAAGTTGTGAAGTTAAAAAGAACAAGAAAACTGAGATGTTCCATGATATTCTCCAAATTTCAAGACAGTATCTACTCATCTTTCCTGAAGAGATCGTTTGAACTCTTAAATTATCTCACTTTATAAAAGACCATTTTATAAAAATGAATAGCATGGATCTGATCTTGGTGACATCACCCTCCCCAGCCAATCATGCATTGCTCTCTCAGATTATCCAAGGTTTTGTTTGGGCTCTGAAAATTAACCCAAACTTGTCTTATTGGTTTGTCCAGCTTGAATGGGCTATGTCCAGAGATTAGGAAAATAAATAACATTTTGCATGATACTACCTAACATTTAGCCAAATGAATTTGACCCTACCAACTTAAAGTCAAAACCAAAGTAAACAAAAAGCTACCTAATTCTCCAACAAACTTGGGTTTACCAGGCATCCAATTGGTGTAGTAGAAAGAGCTTGGTTGTGGGAATTAGGCTAACATAAGAATAAATCTTAGCTCCCCTGTTCTACATAACTCACGCCACTCTTGGTAGGTTTCTTAATTTTCTACCCTGAAATTTCCTTATCTGCGTCATGGAAATTATGGAAATTATGATATTAACCTGACAGTGTTTTTTGGTTTCTTTTTTTTTTTTTGGAAGATTAAATGGGCTGGTTTAAGAAAACTTCTGTGGTCATAATAAATGCTCAATAATTATGAAGCAGACAGGCTTTGGTGCCAGGGAGACTTGGGATTTTATTCCAGCTCTGCCTATAAGTAATTTGAGGCTTTGGGAAATTCCTTAAATGTTCTAAGTCTCAATGTCATCACCTACAACATGTACATAATAATATTGTGCCTACTGCCTTTAACAATTGCAATGGGTAATACACAGAGAGCATTTTAAGTAGTCTTCCACGTGCTGGCACTTAGTAGACATCATTCAATGCCATCTACGTTTTGCTCCCCACTTTTCATTCTGAAGATTCAGAAGTGGCTTTGCAGAGAAGGAGGAGATCTCAATCCTCCTATCACAGATGAAGATACAAGCAGAAGAGGTTAGATGACTTGCTTAAAGTTACTGAGCTATTTAGTGACAGAGCTCAGTCGCTGACACTTACTCCAGTATCGTTCTTACTATATGACAATACTTCTCTAACATCCCTCAACAGAAATGAATGCTATCTGTGATGAACCCAAATCACTGACAAAATTATTATTTAATTATCCTCATGGCTAGAAAATGGGCCTTGATTCTTGATTAAAATAAAAGCAACCAGATCATTTATTTGTTATAAAATACTACTGTCAAAATATACCAACATAAGACTATAGATCTTCATCACACAGCAAAGCCAAAGACTGACTAAATCTGGTGAAAAACTGGGAAGGGTATTGTGATATTTTTTTTCCCAAATGGATATGAACATGAACTCTCTAGAACTCCCTGCTCGTTTTGGGGTTATTAGCTATATTGAAACAGAAAACAAACTCTCCTTATCTAACAACTGGATGACAATCCATGGAGTGCAGTGAGCCCTTTCGGGGCGATCAATGACAGAGGTACAGTCAGAAGCTACTTTCTATGGTTCCAAGCTGAATAAAAGTCTACAGAGTTGTGGACTCTCCCCAATCCCCCCCAAAAAAAACTGTGCATAAAACTTGAAAGGGGGCAATGTATGTACTGGAGTCCCTTTGGACTTTCTCTTTCACTAACAGAGGATTGCAACCTAAGTGGTTTCTGGCCACAGCAGAAAGCAACAAAAGGCTGCATGGATGATTTTTCTTAAATGAAAAAAAGAGAAGTTGATGTGATTTGAATTGCATGATCCAGATGGTGTTTTCCATCTTTCATGCTCTTTTGGTTGTGGCCACATCTTGCCTATGGCTTTTGTGGCAGGACACACTCACCAGTCAGCAATTTCACCACTGCTTGGGTCCAAATGAGCTATGGAGAAAGAAATTAGAGTCAATGAAGAGGCCGCAGCTGGGAGAGATCAGCCACACTCAACAAGCCTTCTCCCACATACATAAACAGACCAGACAGAGGGAAGGAGGGTGAAGAAACAACACACTGAGGTTTAGACGGTAGTACTTAAGGCCTGCAAAGTCTACCTAACCACATGACATGCGCCTGCATGTTCTAACCCGATCGTTGAAAATCCCCAAGTGTCTCTGAAAAGGTGGCTATTAAATTTCTCACCTGAAACATTCGAATGCTTTCTGATACCACAAAATATTTTTTCACAGACTCAAACTGTTCTGTAAATACTTAACTGAAAGGAGAGAATAATTTAGTAAGTTTATTCTCATGTAAGAAAGTGTCTCCTTTAATAATGGACTATGTTAGCTTGGTTTTGAGTTCCTGCTGTGGTTTTAAATCTCTATCTTCACTGCAGTTCTTAGTTGAAATTTTCTAGGATTCAAAAATTCACATGGACTACGATCCTATCCTGTTTATTAGAAGAAACATTAAAGCCTGTAACATGTCTTTCATAGCATATTGCATTTGCACCTGAGCTGTAAAAGGAAACGAATGCCTTTAGCAACGGATTATGGCTTTTTAAGTACCACTTTCCTTGCATAATACTGCAATAAAAAAAAGAAAACATCCAAATGAGATATCAGTATTTTTTTTCTAAAGAGTGGGGGAAATTTTTAACTCCGTATTGTGTTTTATGTTCTGCTACCTGCTATTGAAAAGCTAAGATTTTTTTTTCTTCTTTTGTCAAAAGCAAACTTCCATTCCTCTGTGTCACGAAGCATGCATGGCATCTCAGCCTCTGCTTAGAATGAACAAAATTGTGTGAATGAGCAAATCTTTACCACGATTTTTCTGGCCCATGATGCTTTTCCACAGGAAAAAACACAGGATCTAAATTGTGGCCTGTATTAATAGCAAAGGCAAAGCTATATAAGCTCTGAGCAGCGTTCACAGTTTTAGAATAAACAGTTCTTGAAAATACTGGGCATAGCTTCTAAAATCCAATTAATAAAGTAGTCTACCCAGTCACCAGGCAGAGCTGCTACAAGCAGGAGTTTTCCCTTTTCAATCTTTTTCTTCAATGCTATTTAAATGATGGGGGGAAAGTAAGAAGAAGAAATAAAAGAAAGCAAGCCACTCTCACATGTTTCTAATTGGAATATGCTGACTTTCTCAAAGATAAAATGTATCGAGAGACTTAATGTTGCTCCTACCTTTGGAACCAGTAATTCTACGCCTAAGAATTAATTTTAAATCAGAGAGTTAGGCAAAGATTTTTGCAAGTTTTTTTCATGTAATGGTGACACATAAGAAGCAGTATCAGTGTCCAAAAATAGGAAAAAAAATCAAATCAAATATGGCATAGGATGATTTGAAGAATATTTATTAACACTGAAAAATACTGTGAAACAATGTTATGCTTTTCAAATGATACAAAACTATTTATAAATATTATCCTAATGTTTTAAGTATATATTTATGTGTATGTGTTTACATATGTGCTGATTTATAGCATATATACAAATAAAATCTAAGAATAGAAGGAAAAACATGATTTTCATTTTCTTCAACATTGCCTGTAATTCCTAAATTATCTACAATGAACACAGATTGAAGTTAAAATTAGAAAAAGAACGTTTTTAAAGTACATTAAAAATAACAAGATCAAATATCCTGAGGAGTTTAAAAATCATACATCTTGGAGAAAAATAAATCCATCTGCACTAGATGGGTTTTCTTAAATCAATATTAAAAAGTTAATGTTTTAGTTTATAAAGGAATAGCTTATAAGTAGAAAAGATTCCATCTATTTTTTTAATTGAAAAAAATGACAATTTACATTTACATAGCATAAGAAAATCTGAAAGTGCTATTTCAAAGACCGCTATTCACTCACCATCACCTTGCAGGTTTCTTCTGGTTACCAAACACCAGTTGTAAGAATTCAGATGAATAATAAAACTCACAAAATGATAGCATTGGAATTGGGGTGGGTCTCAGGAATCATTTGTTCGAGAGATTTCCAAACCATGTTCAATAAAAACCAGCCTAGCAGTTGTTCTTAGGATCCACCTCAGAGAAGCAAGAAGGTCACTGAGCATATGGGACTGCTTCGACCATTTTTAACCTGTTTTATATAGTGAATCTTGTCTTAGCGTAGATTCCTCCAAAAGAAGACAAGATTTGGGTGCAAATATTTTATTTGAGAGGCAAATCCAGGAAGCACTGTGAGGGAAATGGAGAGGAAGGGGTCGAAGAAGGAAACCTAATAAAGGTATTACTAAGAGGATTACCACTGTGGACAAATGGCAGGCACTCCATCTGGCTGGGACCCTCTGACAGACTGTGGAACATGCCTCTTACAACAGTTTCGCTGCAGGAGAGAAGGCGGAAATATTTATCTACCAACACTTGTCCCTTGCTGATGGAAGGGCCATTGAAGGTTAATTCGCTGACACTTGCTGACTACCCGGACTAAGCACTATTCTGGAAACCATCCTGAGCTGCGAGACACAGGGAGGCTTCAACAAGCACATAGGAATTCCCTTTAAAAGTCCTGGCTCGACCGGGCGCGGTGGCTCACGTCTGTAATCCTAGCACTTTGGGAGGCCGAGGCGGGCGGATCACGAGGTCAGGAGATCGAGACCATCCTGGCTAACACGGTGAAACCCCGTCTCTACTAAAAATACAAAAAAAAAAAAAAAAAATAGCCGGGCGTGGTGGCAGGCACCTGTGGTCCCAGCTACTCGGGAGGCTGAGGCAGGAGAATGGCGTGAACCCGGGAGGCGGAGCTTGCAGTGAGCCAAGATCGCGCCACTGCAATCCAGCCTGGGCCACAGGGCGAGATTCCGTCTCAAAAAAAAAAAAAAAAAAAAAAAAAAAAAAAAAAAAAGTCCTGGCTCACAAAAGATTTCAACACCACTGTCAATTTCATGTCTTTGTATTCCAAAAGGAAAGGAAATTGAGGTTCAAGGAAGTCAAATGACTTAGCCAAGGTCACATAGCCTGTTAGTGGCAGAAGTAAGACTAGATTAAGTCCTGGTTCCTGGCCCTTTCCAATTCTTAAACCACACACCTGAAATCATGGAGAGAACACAGGCTTTGAGGCAGATTAGACTTGACCGTGAATCCTGGCTCTGTCACCTACAAAATGTTGGGCAGACTATTCAATCTAACTGAAACTCAGTTTCCTCATTGAAAAAAGGAAAAATACTGTGAGTGTTTAATATGGACACTTTCGTTAAATATTCATTCCCTTGCAAATGCCTTAAAATATCAAGCAATTGTCCATTGTACTAGGTCACTAGCCAGCGTAGCTGCAAGCAAGAGTCTACCGTTTCTATCGTTTGAATAAAGCACAAAAATGTGTATTTTAAGATATGATCTATCATTTGCCCTTCATGGCATTCCAACTCTGAATACTTGTTATTCTATTATCTTTCTTGGTGAGCTCCTGTACCATTTAGAACTATTTTAGAGCAGTAGTTTTTGTGTTATAATAAAGTAACTAGATAAATATATAAGTGAATATTGTAACTTTTACATTTTATCGTAATAAGAATTAACAGTACACCTTTGGGTGCGTAATATACTCCAAGCACCCTTTAAAGCAGATTTCACATGGATTATCTCAATAAATTGCAATAACCATCCTTAATAATGCTAACACTAGGATCAATTTGCTAATGAGAAAATTGAAACGTATTGAAGGTAAATAACCTGCCCAGGTCATGTAATTAGAATGCAACATAACTTGAGCCCCAACTTAGATCTGAATGACTCCAGGACTAGAGCCCTTCATAAGTGCACCTTATTCCTTTCCACTTTTTTGACAAATTGGACAGATCATATGCATACAAGTGTACATGATCCTCCGAACCTCTTGCACAATAGGCTAGGGCAGCGCTCAAATGATCAATCGTGGTTTAGTAGAATTGCTCAACATTCTGCCTTAACAGATCACCATCACATCCCACTCTCCTTTATTGAATCTTTGGAACCAGACAAATCTTGGTTCAAATTCTGGTTAGCACTTCATATCTGTATCATGTGGGACAAATGACTTCATTTCCATGTGACTTAGTTCTCAACAATGTCTAACTTGCAGAATTAGAAAAATTAATGTGGCCAGGTGCAGTGGCTCATGCCTGTAATCCCAGTGCTTTGGCAGACCGAGCAGGATGATCACTTGAGGACAAGAATTTGAGACCAGCCTGGGCAACATAGCCAGACCCTGTTAAAAAAAAAAAGTAAATAAATAACAATTAGTGGCTAGGAACGGTGGCTCATGCCTGTAATCCCAGCACTTTGGGAGGCTGAAGCAGGTGGATCACCTGAGATCAGGAGTTTGAGACCAGCTGGACCAACATGGCAAAACCCCGTCTCTACTAAAAATATAAAAAATTAGCTGGGCATGGTGGTGCATGCCTGTAATCCCAGCTACTCGGGAGTTTGAGGCAGGAGAATCACTTGAACCCAGGAGGCGGAGGTTGTAGTGAGCAGAGATCGCACCATTGCACTCCAGGCTGGGCAAAAGTGACACCCTGTCTCAAAATAAGTAAATAGATAAATAAAAATTAAACTTAAAAATAATGAAGCACAAAGGTGCATACCTGTACTCCTAACTACTTGGAAGGCCTGAGGCAGGAGGATCCCTGTAACCCAAAAGTTCAAGGTTGCAGTTAGCTATGATTATGCCATTGTACTCCAGCCTGGGTGACAGAGTAAGACCTTAACTCTAACTTAAAATAAAATGAAGTTATATTTCAAGAATCAGAGATATAGTACATGTTCACAAAAATATAGCTAGAAATTACTACTTCCTAATTGTCAGTAAAGAATTTACTCCACATACACTAACTATTTTGAATGCTCTGGACTCCAGATTGGCCTTATAGATGTCTTATTGCTCAAAGTGTGTGAAAATGGAACTGCTGTATTAATCAAACTTCTCTACTGTTCTGAGTAGTGGTCATGACTAAAATCTTGTGTTAGACCTTGCACAATAAATAAAATTGGTTCTATATCCTCAAATAAATATCAGTTTGTAGGTTTATGTAGAATGTATAAAGAGAAAGAATGAATAATATACACATACACATAATACCATCACATGTGTTTATACATTTGCATATATAAATAAAATAATAAACTCATTTCTGCTTTAGATAGATTGTGAAATAAAACATGCAAATTTTACTATTCCCACAGCATAATAAGTGTGTTGCCCATTTTGGTGAATGGTGTGACTGTAGCAAAGGGTTAAGAATCAGATAAAGGATGGAGGAAGTAAAATTTTACATTGAAAATCTATTTTGAAAATCCTATGATTGCCCATCAGTGAAGTCATTTTGGAAAAATAGCCTGTGGGTGAAATTGTAAACACCATATGTTTTTGAATATTGTAGTGTTGTCTAAGAAAATTACTGAAAAAGACAAATTTAATGCCAAGAATATTTTGAATTGGCAGTTATATCTATAATATTAATAACCCTTTTCTTTTAACACCTTGCTGAAACTACAAATAATTATTTATATAACTAAAATGAAGGCTACAAAGAATTTCTTTATTGAATTTTACCGATACCATATTTGTTGGAAAAGAGCTTCTAGGGGAAAAAGAGCTTCTAGGGGAATAAAAGCTTGTCATTAATCCACAGATTTTTGTTGTTGTTGTTGCTGTTTCTATCACTCACACACTCTGACCTTTCTGTGTCTGAGATTTCTCACATAAATCCAGGCAAAATAATGCTATTTGTCCTCAAAGTTCATTGCAAAAATTGAATAAATAGAGTTAGACATTATAAAATTAAAACCACTGAGCACCTACAAACCATATTTTACATTTTTGGTTCCCTCAATTACTCTGAAAAGCAAATGTAGAAGACATCATAGAAAAATGCAAGCTTCAGGATCATTTTCTAGTGCAAATATTAAATCACAATAGAAAACATTAAGAATTCATTTTTTTGGCAATGACTTGGTCTAAAGGCAGTAGAAGGGAGATGGCTGGCATGCTCCATGCCAGCGTTTGATGAGATAAACATAATATTTGTAATAATGCATGTTCTAATAGTACATTCTGAAGAAGCCCCAGAAGAAGTAATAATGGAATCCAAAAGGCATTTTCACACAGTGTTGGTACATATATCAGTCAGCCATCACACGGCTTGGGAGTTGTATAAATGTTTATGCATCATTTTGAACAGGTTTATCAGTCTCAATGCTTTCAGGTGTTGAACACCAGATTTATCAAACTTATCCATGTGAAATTTAAAACTGGTTTACCACTAGTTAATACAGACTCACATGAACAATCATTTCCTGTGAGTGCCCATTAATTAGACAAACGGAGTGCTAACAAACAGAACTGCTGTGTCATTCAGGCGAGCCCTCCAACCACTCTGGGCTGCGGTAACTCCATCTGTAAAGCAGAGGGCATGGATTGGTTGATTGCCAGTTTCCTCTTAACACTAAAGCTTTATTTACTGTTATTTTGTGTAGTTCTTTTCATCAATTCTGTTTGGAAGAATTGTACCGAACTAGAAAGTTTTAAGATGGTGTAATATGTCTTGAAAAGCTTTAGAAATGTTTTCTTCCAAATTATTTCCAATCTTCCTCTCATATTTGCCCACTTACGTATTTACTAACCAGGTGATAAATAAGTCCATTTTCTCCTACCCCTTAACTTATGTATAATTATATATTCATATACTTGTTATTCTATTTCTATTTATATCTTTCCAATCTATTACAAAGTAATCTCTTGAGAACAAGATGTATGCCTGTGTTGTTTTTGTAGTTCTCAATGTACTTAGCGAAGTGTTTGTTCATATGATGCAGTCATTAAATACTTTTTAATAAACTCGTGCCTGAAGGTGTCCCTTGAGAGTGAACTTCAGCATATGCCCCTCCTCGCCACGGCCACACTCACTAAGGCTGTGGATGTGGCATCATCTGAAATCTGGATTAGAGAATTCCTCCACTCTTGCCTTCACCCCATTGCTCTAACCCGTTACAGAAATCCTCTGCTCTTGCTTTCTACCCTCTTGGCTCTGAGAATTGGTTCATCCTCCTTGTTTTGTTCCATTTAGTTTTGGCAACTGTTCCCAGACTGTTTGCCTTGTTTACTGACCTCAGAAACCCCAAAGACTTGTCTGTGCTAATTGCCTCCACCTTCTTTGGCTCCAAATTCCAAATCATTGCCCAGACCAAGCCTTTGAGACACCAACTGCCCCATCTTATGGAAAGGAGATGATATTTGATTTCTTTGGACAACATCCATCTTATCAGGTTCATCCAAAACTCAGATTTATTTGTAATGGACACTTGAAGCCCAGAATGAAGTAATGTTAAATAGTTTCTAGCTGTGAAGGTGAGTGGAACATTCATTCTGTTCCAATAACAAATGTCTACATTGAGAATAATGCAGTAAAGAAAAGGATGCACTTCTTAATATGAGATATGTGTGAGGAACATGGAAAATAATTAAGAATTAAGGAAGATAAGATATAATTGAATTACGGAAAAAGCGTTAAAAAGAACTGCAGAGCTTTAAACAAATAGAAGATCTAATAAAAATCCTCACTCGACATAAATCCTTTATGAAATATTGCTGATACATGATCATTCAGATTCTGTATTATTTCCAGAAATAAAGGGCTAAGTAAGTCAATCTCTTAGGAATTTCATATTGAAAGGAAATTTTCATTCAGTAATTTCCACAATGTTTGTCCTAGTTCGGTCCTTTGAAATTGCCAGAAAAAAAAAAAGTCTTCTTTCTTTTCAGTAAGATGACTTTCTTTTTTCTTTTCTCTTTTTTTTTTTTTTTTTTTTTTTTTTTAGAGTCTCACTCTGATGCCCAGGCTGGAGTGCAGTGGTGCAATCATAGCTCACTGCAGCCTCAACCTCCTGGACTCTAGCCATCCTCCCGCCTCAGCCTTCCGAATAGCTAGGACTACAGGCATGCACCACCATGCCCAGCTAATTTTTGTATTTTTTGTAGAAACAGGGTCCTGCTCTGTTGCCCAGGCTGGTCTCAAATTCCTGGGCTCCACTGATCCTCCCACTTCAGCATCCCAAAGTGTTGGGATTACAGTTGTGAGCAGTTGTGCCCTGCCAAAATAACACTTTAAACACTTTAAATATTGTAAGATGATCCTGACAGCACCTACTACTACCACCATCTTTGTATGTGTGTGTGTGTGTGTACGTATACATAGCAACATGTACAGCTAATCATAAAAGCTTTCTGCTTGTTAATACTAAGGCAAATACATTACATACATAATCTCCTTACTATAACTTGTAAAGCTATTTATTGGCCCCACTGAGCATTCATGTTTATCTTTTCAGAGCATGACACTAATAATGTGGCCTTTAAGCTTGAATTTTAAAATGAGAATAATGTTGATACTTACCTCATATAGGTATTGTCAGGCTTAAGTTAATTAAAGTCTGTTACAAGGATTGAATGAGGTAAAGTACAGAAAGCACAAGATATTTAACAAACTGCAACAATCATTAGCCATTAATATTAACTGTTTTAAGCCAGGCATCCTCAATCTTTTTCCATTTGTTTAATTATATTCATAAAATTAAATAATTATATAATTATTTTTAGAAATATACGTTCAGTATAAAAATTAAAACAAAAAGAAGTAGAACTAACAGATAACATGTAGCAGAAAAATAAAGATAACATTTGGGGTATATATGTTGAATTTTTCATTGACATATAATTGTTTACATAGATTAAGATTATCTAATGTGTATTCTGGGTTTTTAGCATTAATCACAAGCATCTTACTATGTTGTTGGGTATTCTATTTATAAGTTACTTTTTGATGGATGCATATTTCATGAAGTGCATGTATATATATATGCATATTATATATGCACATAGTTTACATTTGGGATATGTGTATTTGTGTGTGTGTGTGTATGTGTGTGACTATTGAACGTCATTGTGTTGATTTTGTATTGATTTGATAGGTTCAATATTTTAATATAGTTCTCACAGTTCTGCAGCTTCTACAAACATGATTTGTTTGCCTAAGTCTTTGTTCAAATTATTCATATAAACTATGAGGAAAAAATATCTAGGACAGATGTTTCTGGCATGTCACTGGAGACGCTACTCCAGTTTGATATTGATCCATTAATCAAAACTCTGTGACCATTGTTCAAACAGCTACAAATTCACTAGCTATACTATTATTTAGTCTACGTCTCTATATTATTAATAACAAGATGGTAAAACTCCTTCCAAAATATGCCATCACAGGTAGATTCATTTTGCATAAGTTCAAATAATTACATAGAACTAGAAACTAGGTAAATTTTAGAAGCAACCATTTAAAAATAGCTATTAGTAGGTAATATGAATTAATAATTGATTTGTCTCATTTCCAGTAGACATTGATTCATACAATATTTAGAGACCACTTGTTAGGGACCTTGTCCTACATCTCATGTTTCTAAACAAATATATATTTCTAAATAGAAAAAGGATAATGACTTTGGCTGAAAAATCAGGTTTATTTTTGTAGAAACAAAAGCACAGAAAGGTATTTTCAGGTAATTTGTTTTTTAAATATAAAAGCATGGGCAGTTGCATAGATGAATGGATGGATGGATGGTTGGATGGATGGATGGAATATCACGTCCAAAAAATGTATAGCATGTTAAAGCTTTCATGGTCAATGGTACATTGTTCTGTGTTCAGTGAGTTTTACTTGTGGGTTGAGAGGCAAGTCTTCTCAAAGTATATGTTTGCTAGAAGAATCAGCTCTTATCTGTCAGTTTCGAGTACTATATAATGGCAGCATTGTTTTGTTCCACTGCTTAATAACTTAGATATTTCAATGGATAGATTGTATTCTTAGCAAATATAGTTCTTCACATACCAGAAAAAATGTCAAGTAAAATTAGACTTCAAATGTTAGCTTACCACTATAATATGATTTGTTATTTTTCATGGCACTACCCAAAAATAATTCTAAAAGAATTGCTCATCCTTTATTATGATGCATTAACAAGGTTGACAAAATTAAGGGAGAGCTTTCTTACCTTTCTGATATTTGGAAATAGCCTCCTTATCCAGCATGTTACAAAAACCATGCAATTTTTCTTACCACTATTTCTAACTTTAATTTGTCTTTGTTCTAATTTTCCTTTAGTTTATTATCTAGAAGTTAAGATTTCTTACACATTTCTCCTACATAGTATATCATGAAAAGTATACTAAAAGGGAAAAAGGTAACTTGCAATGGGTAATCAGATGTTAAAGCTACTAATCAATGTTAAAGCTCATTTTTAATAGTTTCGTAAAATGAGAAAGTAGTTGAAAACCACTAGAAAACCGCTGGAGACATTATTTACAGATTCTATTTGTATGACAAGAAAGACTGTAAAGTTATGCAACACAAAGGCAGATTCCTTAGTCGTCATTTTCTTCCACTGTAATGACGTCCACTACATTGTTATTCATAACAGAGTAAACAAGCATTTACACATTGTAAAAACGCTGCATATGAAGAAAAGAAAAAAAGTTAAGACAAAAAACTAACATATATTGAGCACCTACTATGTGTCAGCATTTATATAATTTTCTTTACTTTTAATACTCACAAAGCTTTGTGAAGTGATCAGAATTAGAAGCTTAAAGGAGCTGAGCTACTTTACCAAGTCCTCATAGCTAGTTAGTGGCGCAGCCTAGCTCCACCTTCAAAATTCAAGCTCTTTCTCATCCACTGGCCACCTTTAGCTCCCTGTAGCTGACTGCCTTTCAGTCTTTCATGAAGCAAACAAAAAACCACTAAGATGTTGTGAAACATCTTAAGACATTTAAAAATATTTATAGTCATTCCTATTATCGCTGTGATTAAAACAAGCAATATTAATCTTAACGATGATGGTGCTTTCGAGGCTTTTTTTTTTCTGAGACAGTGTCACTCTGTCATCCAGACTGAAGCACAGTGGCACAATCATAGCTCCCTGCAGCCTCAAACCCCTCTGGGCTCAAGGGATTCTCCCACCTCAGCCTCCCAAGTAGCTGGGACACAGGTAAGCACCAGCACAGATTTTGAGCGTTTTTGTTTTGTTTTGAAACAGAGTCTTACTCTGTCGCCCAGGCTGGAGTGCAGTGGCACGATCTCGGCTCGGTGCAACCTCTGCCTCCCAGGTTCAAGCGATTCTCTGCCTCAGCCTCCCAAGTAGCTGGGATTACAGGCATCCACCACCATGCCCAGTTAATTTTTGTATTTTTAGTAGAGACTGGGTTTCACCATGTTGGCCAGGTTGGTCTCGAACTCCTGACCTTGTGATCCACCCACCTCGGCCTCCCAAAGTGCTGGGATTACAGGCGTGAGCCACTGTGCCCAGCCAGATTTTGAGTTTTAAGTTGCCTCTCTCAGAACCCTTAATAGTATCTAGAACACAATGACACTGAGTTTCTCTTCACAACCCAACAACTAACTTTTAGGGTCACGATATAACACATATTAGCATAGGACAGGGGAACATCAAGATTGACTTGCAGCCCTTCTCTAGGCTTTGAGAAACCCTACGTCTTTATTTGTTAGCACCAGATTAAGAGGAGAAATCAACTCCAAATTTCAGTGTAATTTATGAAAGCAATATTTAGACTTCTAATAGAACAAATCTCTCTTAAGTCAAAACTATGGCGGCACCATGAGTGAAAGATCCAAATTATTTTTATTCTTCTTCTCTTCATTGTACTCTTTCTCTAATCCTTGCTTCTCATTTATTTAACAGACATTTATTATGCATTTACCATGTCCCTTGAATTTTGCTGGCACCATTTGTTAGTCTCTAGTAAGAAAAACTAGCAAAACTTAAATATTAGTAATACTAGAAAAAAATGTACTTTCAACACATTGATAAAATTTATCAGTCATGCTGAAGGATAATTTATGGACAACAAAGAAAAGTTTCTTAACAAATTAAATAATAATGAAGATAAACAGATGATGGATAGATATCAATCTTATACCTAAAAAAGAAATTACATTTAGAGTCGTATCAATTAGACATGGCAAGAACAGTACCAAAATTATATCCGGTGTTTTTATTTGACATTGTTCGTGAAATTTTGACTAATTTCAAAAAGATGTAAGGCAGTAATTATGTGTTATTATTAGGAAAGATAAGAGAAAATTATGATAATTTACAATTGATACTGTTGTGTACCTGGAACTTCACTATACAAAAAATCAGCACATAAATGTGAGAATAAGAGAGTTCAATAAAATGATGAAAGATGGGATCATTTTTTCAGCTGTTCATTTCAGAAACTTTTACATCTGTAAGAGCTGAAAGAGTAGTACAATGAACACTTGCATTTTTAACCATGATTCACCAACTGTTAAAATTTTGCTACATTGGCTTTTTTTCTCATTTGATTCATATTTCTATTTGTTTGTGTATTTTTCTCTCTCTTTTTTTATTTTTTGGCTAAGACATTTGAAAGAAAACTGAAGACATTGCAACACTTGATTTCTAAAACTCCAGCATGTATACAAAAGTATTTTAAAAGTTGATATCTTCTCATAGGTAAAAAATAACTAGTTAGAACGCAAAATGAAAAATGTATCATTTGCAGTAACAACAAAAAATTAATGTCTTAGCCCATTAGGGCTGCTATAACAAAATGCCAGAAACTGGGAAGCTTATAAACAATAACAATTGATTTCTCCTAGTTCTGGAGGCTGGGAAGTTTAAGATCAAGGCACCAGCAGATTTAGTGTCTTGTGAGGAACCACTTCCTGGTTCACAGATGGTGTCTTCTTGCTATGTCTTCACATGGTGGAAGGGCAAGGCAGCAGTCTGGGGCCTCTTTTATAAGGTCATTGTATTAGTCCGTTCTCACACCACTAATAAAGACATACCTGAGACTGGGTAATTTATAAAGGAAAGATGTTTAATTGACTCACTGTTCAGCATGGCTGGGGAGACCTCAGGAAACTTACAATCATGGCAGAAGGGAAAGCAAACACATCCTTCTTCACATGCTGGCAGCAAGGAGAAGTGCAAGCAAAAGTGGGGAAAGCACCTTATAAAACTATCAGATCTTGTGAGAACTCACTCACTATCATGAGAACAGCAGCACGAGGGTAGCCACCCCTAAGATTCAATTACCTCCTACTAGGTCCCACCCACGACACGTGGGGATTATGGGAACTACAATTCAAGACGAGATTTGGGTGGGGACAGAACCAAACCATATCTGTCACTAATTCCATTGATTAGTGCTCCACCTTTCTGACCCAATGACCTCCTAAAAGGCCTCACTTCCAACCACTTTCAGGGGTTGGATTTCAGCAGATGATTTGAGGAGGACACAAACATTCAGACCATAGCAATAAATGGCCTTATTGAGAAATACATTAGACCTAAATGAAAAAAACTATTAAAAATTTACTAAAATACATCTAAAAAATTATATTCCTGGATAAAAGATAACACATAATGTAATACCATTTTCCCAAATTAATTTATATGTATATATTATACAAAATCCAATCAGAAGTGTATTGTGATATTTTTAAAAACAACAAAATATTTCTAATGTTGATCGGAAAGAAAGATCAGGCAAAAATCTGACATACAGCTTTGAAAAGAAGTATGTAAAGACTAATTCCACATTTAGGCTTCCTAGTGAACTAGAGACCATAAATTCTGAATTAGCACCAAATTTGAGTCTCAGTATATCACTACAACTTGTTTGACCTCTGAAGAATGATTTAACTTCTCAGAATTTCTGGTTTCTCAGCTATAAAATAGATGTGAAGATGCCTGTCTTGCATAGCTATATGAAGATTCCAAGCAACCCACTTTAAAAATCTAGCATAATCTCCAGACAATGAAGAAAAATTCAATATCTGTTTTAGAGGTTATTTTTTGGTCTTTGGAGACTATAATCAATTTGGGTCCAAAATAAATTTCAGCTTTATGTAAAGATTATTACCAAAAAACTTATAAAATTTAAAAATTAAGAAATAAGGAAAGATAAATTGTAGAAAAAGAAAATGTAAACTAAAATTTATCAAATCCCTGGAATAAAGACTTTTACCTTAAGAGTGATGTAATATGCCATGCATGGTGGCTCACGTCTGTAATCCCAGAACATTGGGAAGCCGAGCCAGGTGGATCACTTGAGGTCAGGAGTTCGAGACCAGCCTGGCCAACATGGTGAAACCCCATCTCTACTAAAAAATACAAAAATTAGCTGGGCGTTGTGGCACGCGCTTGTAGTCCCAGCTACTCAGGAGGCTGAGACATGAGAATCACTGGAACCTGAGAGGCAGAGGTTGCAGTGAACTGAGATCACACCACTGCACTCCAGCCTGAGCAACAGAGTGAGACTCTCTCAAAAAAAAAAAAAAAAAAAGCGATGTAATAAATTATTAAAAATTATGCATAGAAAAATTTCTGGAAGAAAACATATCCAAATTCAGTCATGCACTGGACCGCATATATGATGGTGGTCCCATGGTATTGCAATGGAGTTGAAAGATTTCTACTGCCTAGTGGTGGTAGCCATCCTAACATTGTAACACAAGGAATAACTCACATGTTTATAGTGACACTGGTGTAAACAAATCTACTACACTGTCAGTCTTATAAAAGCATAGCACATACAATTATATAGAGTAGCTAATACTTGCTGATGATAGTAAATGACTATGTTACTTGATCTATGTATTTACTTTTTATCATTAGTGTGTTCTTGTCTCATAAAAAGAAAGTTCACTGTAAAACAGCCTCAGGCAGGTCCTTCAGGAGGAATTTCAGAAGCAGGCATTCTTATCATAGGAGATGACAGCTCTATGTGCGTTATTGCCCCTGAAGACCTTCTAGTGGGACAAGACGTAGAGATGGAAAACAGTGATATTGATGATCTTGAACCTGTGTAGGCCTAGGCTAATTTGTGTGTTCCTGTCTTCATTTTTAACAAAAAGTTTGAAATGTTAAAAAAAAAAAAACTAAAGAGAAAAAAGCTTATAAAGATATTAAGAAACAAAATATTTTTGTACAACCATAGCAATGCATTTGTGTTTTAAGCTGTTACTTAAAAGGATTCAAAAAGTTTACCATTTTTTTTAAGTTTACAAAGTTAAAAAGTTAGAGTAAGCTAAGGTTAATTTATTATTGAAGAAAGAAAAATATTTTTTATAAATTTAGTGTAGCTTAAGTGTACAGTGTTTATAAAGTTTAGAGTAGTGTACAGTAATGTCCTAGGCCTTCACATTCACTCACCACTCATTCAATGACTCACCCAGAGCAACTTCCAGTCCTATAAGCTCCATTTTTGATAAGTGCGTAATACAGGTATACCCTTTTTTTGTGTTTTATACTGTATTTTTACTGTATCTTTTCTATGTTTAGATCTGTTTGGATACACAAACTCTATTATATTATAATTACCTACAGTATTCAGTACAGTAATGTGCTATATAGGTTTGTAGCTTAGGAACAATATATACCATATAGACTAGGTACATAGTAGGCTATATCATCTAAGTTTGTGTAAGTACACTCTATGATGTTCACACAATGACAAAATCACCTAATAATGCATTTCTCAGAACATATTCCACCTGTTAACCAATGCATGACTGTACATTCATCACTGGGTAAATAGTCAAATGAATGAATGAGTTGATTGATTGGAAGTAAATTTCTAAGCTGGTGAGAAATCTGATGAGAAGGCTGACAGCTGTGGGAAGGATGGACTTGTAGGCAACACAAAGAAGAGACGTTAGAAGTCCATTGCACAGGTAATAAATGATGGACCTGCTTTGTGAAAGTGTGACTAGAGCTAGAAGCGTAAGTCAGCTAATCTGCTGTGTGCTTGATGCCAAATTATAATATCAGTCCCTTAGCTCTTTTACAGTGCCTCTAGTTTACTACTACTGTCTATTTTCTCATTACTCTTCACAGAAACCAGCATATCATTTGTCTTATCTGTTCAGTGCCTATGCAATGCTTGGCATAAAAAGGGGGAGAATAAATAAGAAGAAAGAGGTACAGAGAAGGAATCAGAAAGAAAAGGAAAGAAGGAAATCAAAATAGAAAAGAGAAAAGGTGGGAAAGAGAGACAAAAGAGAAACATTAGAGAGAAGAAAAGACAGCCAAAAAAGAAACAGGTGAGAAAAATACATAGGGACAACTAAAATATTTTATGGGTAAGAAAAAGAGTTGAAGAATTTTAAAGATACTCATAACTGAAATAGTGTCTATTCATGTGAGGCAAATCATCAGGAATGTTTCATTTATGGTTATTTCAATGATTTGCACTTAATTCCTATTAAGTTTCCTCCTCCTTTCATCCTTGTCTCAATTTCTTTTGCTTTTATGGAGTGGATCAGTCCGCAGATGAATTTCCCAAATACGGTCAATGGACCATTACTGCTACTAGACTCATGTGGGCTCATGGTCCCCTCTAGCTCATAGGGGCATCGCTCAAGTTTCCAAGTTGTCCTCAGTCCTGGGGCAGAAGGAAACCACTTCCCATTGCAGCCAAAATTTTTCCTATGCTATTTGAATTCGCACTTTAAATAACACAGGTTAATAAGGATATTGAACAACTTGGTCAGTACCAAGGGGCTAACACTGCTATTATTTGCTAAAGGCGATATAATTTGATCTAGTACATTTCCATTTACTTAACTATAGATCCTTATTCTCAGTACTGAATATAAATATCTTCTTGCCTGCTGGGAGCAGTTTTTTTTGAAAAGATGTTATTTTTATCTATTTGAATAACTCAGGAAAAGAATATAGATCATCACCTCAGATTAAAAAAAAAAGAAAAAGGGAAAAGTTTTATTTTCATGAGCCCCACTGACCACATCATTTACTAGTGTTGGCAAGGGTGCAGCACCTTATGAGTAAAAACAGCACTGCTGTCGCCCCTCAAGAGGTTATTTTTTTATATCCAACACATTTGAGGAGTGTTGTTTATTACAGCTTGATAAATATTTTTAAAGACTTACTTTGATGGAAGCTATGCTTCTTCTTTTTTTTTTTTTTTTTTTTTTGACGGTTTTGCTCTTGTTGCCCAGGCTGAAGTGCAATGGCACAATCTTGGCTCACCGCAACCTCCACCTCCCAGATTCAAGCAATTCTCCTGCCTCAGCCTCCTGAGTAGCTGGGATTACAGGCATGCACCACCATGCCCTGCTAATTTTGTATTTTTAGTAGAGATGGGGGTTTCTCCATGTTGGCCAGGCTGGTCTCGAACTCCTGACCTCAGGTGATCTGCCTGCCTTGGCCTCCCAAAGTGCTGGAATTACAGGCGTGAGCCACCGCGCCAGGCCGGAAGCTGTGTTTCTTCTAAGAGAGGTTTATAGGGATATTGTAGCAGCCTAGCATCTGCAAATCAGTAGCATTTATGAGCTGGAAAAAGATAGCCAGGCATGAAGTTGTGCATGACATCCAGTGAAAATGTACCACTTTTGCCATTAAAATTGCACATGGATATCTAAGAGAAGTTATTATTTCTCTTAAAAGCTCTTGTCTTCCTGGTGCATCTGTGAGATACTACTGCACCTCTTGTGTATGTATGCTGCATTCAAGACAACATTATAGGCAGAATCTTAAATTCTCAAAAGATATAAATTGAAGAATAATTATGTACAATTCAAAAGAACTTTTTAACATAAATTTTTTAATAGATGGCTCCCTTTGTGCATTTAAGATATTATTTCGTATACAGAACTGTGGCCTACATGCAATCTATCAAAATCACATCTATTGGGTAAAGTGAGATTTATCGGTAAGTAGTATTTAAAGAATATGATCAGAATGCATGCAACAAAAGTATGAAAATAAATGAAACCACCTTAAAACTTACTCATTTTTGAATTTCAAGATCCTTGGCCAGTATACAAGACAGGCAAGTATTAATTTGAATTTGCACATAGAATTTAAAATAAGAATCAATATTTTCTTCTTGCATAATTGAAAGACTATTCGATTATTAGCTAGATTACTGACCATGGGCATACTGGACATCAGCTCCCAAACCTATTTCTATCCTTTGAGACTAATAAAAGGTTTGGGGCCAGGTGCATTTCAAAAAAAAAAAAAAATTCTAATACACCCATAGTCCTCAAAGAGTGGTTTGCAGACCAACAGCATAAGCATCACCTGAGAATTTGTTAGAAATGCAAATTATCAAGCTCCACCCCATACTTAATAAACAGAGACTCTGGGAGGGTGGTCCAGAAACGTATGGTTTAACAAGCACTCTAGATGATTCTGAAACACACTGAAGTTTAAGAAGTACTGAAGTAAACTATAAAGAGATTCCTAATCTATGCATACATCAGTTTACTGCTTCAGACAGTTATTTTCAAACTCTGTTTTCTGGAATGCTAACTTATGTCCCAAGGTCCTCTGATGCTGAGTTGTGAGGAGTGAAGAAATATAGCCGGGCGCACTTTGGGAGGCCGAGGCGGGCAGATCACGAGGTCAGGAGATCAAGACCATCCTGGCTAACACGATGAAACCCCATCTCGACTAAAAATACAAAAAATTAGCCGGGCGTGGTGGCGGGCGCCAGTAGTCCCAGCTACTTAGGAGGCTGAGGCAGGAGAATGGCGTGAACCCGGGAGGCGGAGCTTGCAGTGAGCCGAGATGGCGCCGCTGCACTCGAGCCTGGGCGACAGAGCAAGACTCCGTCTCAAAATATACATATATATATATGGGAAATCTATTTTAGAAGTATGATTGAAGGTAACTACAGTACTTGCAAGTGCAGATGTGTAGTAGGTAATTGCAATTACATGTCCTGAATACAGGAGTAAGAGCAGGACTGACAGGAGGGACCAGGGAGAAAAGAAAAAAGGAGAGTGGAGTTACGGAGGAGAGGCAGGAAGGAAAGAAAAGGGAGACTGTAGTTTCAGTTAAAAAATAATTTACAAAATATATACAACAATCAAAATGAATGAATTTACCGTGTGGATATTCATAATGCAGCAATATAGAAAATCTTAATAATTTTATATTAAAAATGTCACTAATGTCTACATAAAGCATATTTTTAAAGCTAAAAATAATGAAAATAAAATATAAATATGCTTTTTAGAAATACAGTTAGATGGGATAAAATGATATAAGAAGCAATGCAAGAGAACAATGATCACAGGACTTGGGATGGTGATTGCATTAGGTAAGAAAAGACAGATGAGGGGACTGAGGAGAACCACATAGCCAGACAGAAGTTACTGTCAAGGCCTCAACTTGTGTGTTGAAAAGTGGACTCATGACTGACTGTGTAACACACTGCATGAATGAATACATTTACAGGGCCATAAGTGGATTAATGATGACCAAAGATTATTGGAGTCCAATTTTATGTACCTGATGTCCATTAAAATATTATAAAAATTCTAATAGTGGAATTATGAAAAATGCACTTGAAACTATCAACAAAATCATTCCAAAAATAAGAATTCTTCATTATAATATGTTATTTTAAAGACAATAATAAATAAATTAAATAAACGTCCTTACATAGAAATTTATTATACAGTCTTCATCTATGAGTTGTTTATATTTAACAAAAAAAGGAAATGTAACAAATTCCAGTCCTAGGCAAGATGGACAAAAATACAATGTGTCTTCAAGACCTTGCTCTGCCATTTTTTGGTGCCATTTTGCTTCCATGTTTATCTGATTCCTAGATTTTCAGGGCTCTCATCTACGGGGAATGGAGATAGAGGGGTCACTAAGCTTAGTTACCCTAAATACAATGTATTGGTTTCAGCCACTTCCATCAAACCCAATCTTGTGTGCGTCTATTGCCTGAGGCCCTTCTGCTGCATAACTATGAGTAGCAATTATTCAAATAAGCTAATTAATCCTTACAAACTAACTAGCCACCAGCTACTAGTTAACCCCTCTTCAAGGGATGGCTTAAGCTGGTTGAAATGTATAGCTCCTTTATAGACCCTTATGGATAAACGAATATTTGGAATTTGGAACTCTGTGGCACGCTGTGGAGGAAGATATTTTACAACAGAGAAATTCTTCAAAGCATACCACCTAAGCAGCACTCTCTTATTATATGTAAGATTGACCAGTAGGTAATTTTCATTAATACAGGTTATTTCAAATGTATGTGTATAAGTACTAGGTGGTGATGGAAGCTGAAACGATTCAGTCCAGAAGGCTGGACCATGTTACTACTAAATCACTTAAATTCTGCGGAATAATCACATGCCAGTGGGACCAAAGGCATTTTCCCATATTTACCTCTTTTCTCACTGGGCTGTAATTGAAGGATGCACAGATATCCTGTTTCTTAAGTTACGTGGAAAAGGAGAGGTCATACTAAATGAATAGGCTTGATCTAAACAGACCCCAATTTACATACAACATTATTTTAAAACATAGATTGGTTAGACTTGCATTTTCTTTTTACCCATTGCAATGAAATGAGAAATGGATTCTGTTAAATCAGAGATAGCTACATAGATAGATATAGATGTATAGAAATAGATAGATAGATACAGATGCATTACCTAATAATACGTAAAAATATTTAATTATATTCACTTTCAAAGGAATGCCATCTAAAAATCACAATATTATACTCTTAACTGTCTTGACTCAAATGTCTTTAGACACTTATACCATAAGCATCTCTTTCTCCATTATACATGAGGGCAAATTCCTTCAGGGTAGATAACAAATTTTTTCCTACTTATGAAAACAAAATCACTAAATAGATTTAGTTCAAGATGTTGCAAAAAGGAATTTCTCTTTGCAGTAAAATCAGATAATCAAACTTTTAAGAAAGTTATACATGAGCTAAGAACATATTTATAATATAAATTACTTAGCAAATGGAACCAAGATTTGAAGTGGCATGGAAATGCATTACTTCCACAAGAGGAAAAAAAAAAAAGAAAGGGTGATCATTTATTCACAGGCACAGATTCGAGCCAGATACCCATAAAAAGTTAATGGGGGAACTCACAACCTCGTAAAAAGCTGTAGAAGAGCATCCTGGCCCACATCAAATCACCATACACATCCGCTGTGTGTGGTATATGTTATATGTCTTAGAGGATTGAAATTATGCATATAAAAGGCTACTAGTAGGTGAAATTACAGATATTCACTAGCCTGGATAGCTATCATATTTAAGGCACCTTAATCTCAGCATTTTTGGTGAGAACCCTGTCAAATATAACTCAAGAACTTACTGTTAATGTTTTCTTGTTAGCCCGAATTTATAGGAGATGCAGATGAAATCCGTTCCAGACCTCCAAGGAAAATTAGCCTTTCTCTGACACACTCCTCAAAATCCTTCCAGACTTGACCCACTATTCACCACGGCAGCACATCACCTCCAGGTACCAAAATCTGTATTAGTTATCTATGGCTGAGTAAAAATTTTCCCAAAACAAAACTTGATGACTTAAAACAACATTTGTTCCCACTGGTTCTGTGGTTAGAAAGCCAGGCTTGGCTTAGATGAGTTCCCTAACTCAAGGTTTCTCACAGTGTCACAATCAATGTGCTGTGACGGACATCTCAAGGCTGGACCAAGGGAAAATTGACTTTCAAGCTGGCTCACTGGTGAGTGGCTGGTGGTGGGCCTCAGGTCTTCACTGGCTATTAGCATGGCACCAGTTCCTTGCTATCTTGTTCTGTCTATTGGGCCACTCACAACATGGTATCTTGTTTTTCTCAGGGCAAGGGCTCAGAGAGAGAGACCATGAGAGAGCCAGCAAGATGGAAGTCACCATCTCTTTGTAACCTTATCTTGGCAGTGATATCTCATCACTTTTGCAGTGTTCTCTTCATTACAAGAGGGTCACGGTGTCCAGCTCACATGTGAGTGGAGACACATTACACAAAGCTATGAATTCCAGGAGGGGGGATCTTAAGGAGCCATTGTACAGGCTGCCTATTACAGAGATATTCTTGTACGGTAATGAAGGAATTTGTCACACATTTCTAATTGTCCAGGAATTGTACAAAATTTCTGAATAGATAACATTTGACTGTAGCGTTGTATCTACATCTAGATTGTTAATTAAATCTAAGGCAGTCTATCTATAGAGTTTTAAAGATCATATAAAAGTAGATCTAACTATGTATCGATGGTAAGGGAAGAGGTCCCTGAAGAAATGACTTTTCAACTGTCACCTGAAGGGCAGTGCAGCCAGTGATGACTGCATGGAGGTTAGGATGCAGGAAGGAAGAGCTGAATTTAGAAAACAAGGGAGAAAAGAAGAATCCTATTCAGAACCCTGTGTTTCTTGGCTACTACTTTTTCTTCCTCGTGTTCATCTTTTGTGCCAAGATCTATTAACTTATTGTACTAATTTAAGGGACAGATTTATTCACTTTGATATAGTTGAAGAACCTAAAGTTTAATGAGTTTGGAGCCCCAGTGATTTGAAAAAGAATGTAAGGAAGAAGGAGAATGAGGGAGAGGGAGAGAGAAGGGGGCAGGGGAGGAAGACGAGGGAGAGGAAAAATTGTGAGGCAGAGAACCAAGATAAGGAAAGGATGTTTCAGTGCATTCCTTTGTCTTCACTTCTGAAAGATTCTATATAGGTAGAAGAGAGGGTCTTTGCAAGAACATGCACTAGAGTATTTCTTGGTGAAAAGTCATTTGTGGGGTTAATCAAATTGGAGTTCAAGTCACAGTCAATAATACAAACCCAAACTATCAAATAAGGGAGCTGCTGGAAATCAGAATGAGTACCCCTGAAGAAAGTTAAAAACAAAACAAAACAAACATGAAGACCAGCCACCATCCAGAGTGGAGGGAGAAGGAGGGAAGGTATCTGAGGTGACAAAGGTAGAGGAAAGGTTACATAGGGTGAATAAGGAGAACCCAGTGATTCCAGCTCCTTGAAGATGCAGAGAATGTCTGAGTGCCTTATACATATTTTTCTGTACCAGCTTTTTACATTTCAGATGTTGTTGGCAGAGAATGTCTGAGTGCGTTATACATATTTTTCTGTACCAGCTTTTTACATTTCAGATGTTGTTGGTATTTCTGTCTCCATTTGAATGTAGTTCACAGGTGAAATCCTTCCAGTGCAGGTCACCTACTTACAGAGTTCTGAAATACAAAACCATTTTGGCCCTCGTCTCACTCTACAGACCTGACAATCAGCACTGGTGTGCCAGCTGTAGCCCTGGGTTTCCCCTGGTTATTCTGTTTCTAGCTGGTTCAACTGCTCACACTTCCTAATAACTCCCGTCTCCCACTGGCTTGCCCGTGGACCAACTAATGGAGACAGAAAATATCTACTGCCATGTTACCTAGAGTGTGTCCCATGGAGCAGAAATCCATGTTTTACTGAGCAAAAATAACTTTCAGAGTTAAAAATATTTATTTATAATAGGAGCATTTAATAAGTCAATGCACATGGTTAATTTCAAAGAGGAAAATATAAATGTATTATTTTTCAAAGGTATTTAACATGAGGATACACTTTTTCCTGGTGAACTGATGATGTTGAAAGGATTCTCCTTTTGGAAATGTTGATCATGTATAGCTTTATACTCTCTAAGTGCATTATAGGTTTGGTGATGTTTGATTGACAATGTAAGATTGTAGTGATCTAGAGGGTTACCAGGATGTCTTGGCCAGTAGTTGAAAAGACAGAAATGATATGATAATTTCTTAATCAGCTCTCTTGGACATGAAAATAAAACAGAAGCTTCCCAATCCTGGAAAGTTTTTTCATGATTATGTTGAAGAGGAATTTGTGTAGTCATCTGAGCAACATTTTCTACTCTTTACTTAGTAGATATCTTGGCAATCCTGGTTTCTGATGACAACAGTGCACTTAAACAAAACTTATGAACATATACACATTTCTGGTGTCTTAAATAATAATTTCAGTGGGTCTTATACACAGTTTCACATATGATCACTCACATTAAAAAAAATAGTCATAAAATGACTAGATCTTTATGTATAATATCTAATCCCTTGGTAAACTTCCTTTGGGCCAGAACATTTTGATATAGCTTTTTCTTCATCCCGTGCCAGTACGGTAAATAATTAAACACACTGTCCATTTAATTTCAGAGCATGAATAAATTCTATAATGGGTAGATTGCAAATCTTAGAGTAGGGGTTTTTTCACTGCAAGGACCATGATAATATAGTAAGAAATTTCAAGTCCATAAAATGTCATAGTCCAGAGGAAGAGCAGAGCTTGTCTTCAGAATCTTCTCCTTCAGTACACTTAATGCTATTAAGAATCTTTCAGTGTTTATTTTATTGACTATACTGCTTTCTGGAAAACAACCAATTCACAAAGTAGTTCAAAGGTTAGTTACAAGATAAACTAATAGCTATGCTAAGCTATTACTTTGTAGAGCCAATAAAAAAAAGAAATAAACTATATTATTTTCACAATCTATGTGGTTAGCCCCAACAATGCCAAATCAATAATAAAAGATTTTTATTTAAACTTCCCCCTCCTTTCCCCTCTCTGTTTGTGAAATTTTATCCCAACAGGGAAATCTCCTTGGAATATACCGTAAATATAAAAAAGCAAGAATGGACAATGTAATAAATGTTTTATTTTCGTTTGTTAATAGATGGTGAAGTTCAGCTCACTTGTGGTTTGACCTTATCCTAGTACATAGACAATTTTTCTTAAAAATAGCTTTCCTATAACGCCAGCCATCTCAAACTTCTGCACTCACCCCAGGGAAATAGATCCATCATGCACACACATAGACACACAAAAATAAGCAGTAATTGCAATATAACATTATTTCATAGATCTTTATATGCTACAATTAAAATCATATGGCCCCAAACATTATAGTCACACATATAAGGACCTGATAAAATTCGTGATCCCACATATCCTCTATACTATGGCATCAGATAAAATTTTTTAGATGTTTCACTGCGATATTAATGTTAATAAAATTGCTAATAATAAATTATAAATATTTAATTTTTATTGCAGTGATTTTCATCTAGGGTACACAATGAGATCAGACCCAGGTATTCAGATTGAATAGGTTTGGAGTATGGCTCAGGCAGCTGTATTTTTTGAAGTTCCACAGGTGTTCCTGAAAAAAATTTAAGGCTTAAAACCACCACCTTATTAAACCCTTATTGTGTGGTGAGCCCTGTGTTAAGTAATTTACATTCATTATCTCATTTAATTTTTATGACTATATTGGGTAAGTTTTATTATCTCCATTTCACAGATAAAGATACTGACACTTATAGGTTAAATAATTTGTTCAAGGTTTCCCAGAGCTGAGATTTAAACCTGGATTGTATAAATCTGTGTGAAAGTAAATATATAATTCTGAAATTTTATCATATAATTCCTCACATAAATAAAAATAAGACCAAGAAAAACTAATATGAGTTAACGAAAATTCACATTAAAATAGTAAATGCTCTCCCTAAATTGACTCCTTCTACACACCGTTCCATAATTCACTCTCACTCTCCTCCAATCCATTTTCCATCCTGCAGCACGGTGATCATTTCAGAAGCCAAGCTGATAGAGTTACCGAGGCCCGGAGCTCTCAACTGCATGGGATCATGTTTGGTTTTGCTCCCCATTGCGTCCCTATCCTTGTCATGATACCTAGTGCGTGATGAGAGATGAACAAATATCTGTTAAATAAATAAATGTCACAGATTTATTTCCCAATAATTCTTTCTCAATAATTCTCATGCTCTTGTCTCCCGATTCTTTCAAAGTACTTCCTTGTCCCTAGCTCTAGCTCCTTTCTTGACTCTCAGAACCTCTGCCACTAGGTTCTCGGGTTCTGAGTGAGCACTTGTATCAAGCTTGATTCTCCAATCACAGACTGAACCAACCACTCTCTGATTTGCCCTTGGGGGCTCCAGATTGTTCTCTGAGCAGATCCCAATTCACCATATGGCACAGCAAGTGGGCAATAGAGGGAAGCCGAGACCCAGCACTCCTGTTTCCAGATGGCCATCTAGACCACAGTACAGAACTGTACTTCAGAGCCTCTACCCCGCTGTGCGTTGTGCTGATACAATACTTACATTAGGTTATTCTGTCTCTCTTTACTGAGTGAATTCCAGAAATGGGATGAGAGAAAGCAAAAGCCCTTTATTTACACGGTTGTGAGTGCAGGCGAGGCTGGAGAAAACAGTGATATAAGAGATCTTTTTATCAGACTGATTTAAAGACAACCACGTAAATTACCTAAACTGTTGTCATAGGGATATTAAATGTGAACCCAAGTTCACGGAGCACGGTAAAGAATTAGTCCTGTGTGACTCTGCCTACCTTTCAAGAGAAACAATAGCTTATCCTCAGAACTTGGAGAGACACATCAACAAATGTCTCACAATTAATACATTTGGCCTAATGTTTTAGGACAAGACAAATATTTAATTTGAACAAGAGATGTAAAAGTTAGGAATTACTCTAGTGAAAACAGATTTGGATGATGATGGACAATATTAGTGTGGTGCCTCAACAAAGACTTTTGCCTCTTGCATACTATTATGATTGCACGGTAATCTTACCCAGCTAGTGTTTTCTTAATGTCCTGGGGAGCCTGATCATTGTAAATTACCTGTGACATCTCATTAATCCTCTTTTTCCTCACAAACGCATAATTAATGGTAACATTGACAATAATACACAAATTAGCTAAGTGACGCTTTATGGTGTTGGTTTTGATTAACGTCAGGAACCCAAAAATGACGTTAATGTAATGCAGATCCCAAAAGGCAGTCTGCACTTTGACCCCAGACATACATTTTGTTTGCACCATCACCAAGATTAATCCTCCTCTGGATGAAGATGAGACAAAACTCTGGCCACTGGCAGTGTGTGCTAGGCTGTCGGAAAACAAACCGCCTCAACTGCATTTGTTTAAGAAGGAAATCTTAATGCACAGAAAACAACGGCGTAGTGTCATTTCCTATTGTCTAGTTAGGACAAAGATAAATGAGCAACTGTCATGATTCAGATCAACTGCTTCCCTGCTAACTTCTATTATTTGCTTATTTATGGACTGGTGTTTAATTAAAAGTATACCTAGATATATAAACCACATGATAAAATAATTGAAATTCCTTTTGCTTTCACTATAAATGGTTTTTGGAAATCAAGACTGATTTTTATATGCATTTCAACCTGCAGGACCTTTAAATGATAAATTCTTATTAACCACAAGAGGGTAAACAAAATCAATGCCTGAGAAAATATGCTTTGTCTCTGACTTGAGTAACAAAGTAAAAACACTAGAAGAAATTTGGATAAAGTTCTTAACTTCATCAGTGAGGCATCCTTGTAGACTCTGAGAAAGCTGATATAGAGACGCTTTTTCCAAATTATAAAAGAGACAAACACTTTAAGTAAGTCACAGTAGCATCTACTGCTGCATCATCAACTTCTAAATTCAGGCTTAATCATGTGACTTTAATATAAACATGAACAGTTTCTTAATTACGATTTTCACAAATCTGAGTTAAGTACTGAATCTTTTTAACACTCCAAAGAGGTAGCATATGCTAATTTTTTAAAGATGCAACCTTCTATTTTCTTCGTAACAATTACTTATAGCTGAAACATCTTAATGGTATACATTTTTTAAAAATAATAGTCTCGTATTTGATTAATTTAACATCTACTTATTTAGGCTATTTTTCAAAATGTTACTGCTACTAAACCACAGCCCTGGCTAATGATCGTATTCCACTTCAAAAACGGAGTAAGAAGAAAAGCCATATTTTCATGCTTTGTTCTATTTTTCACACAAATAACTATCATTTATGGACAAAAATATGCAACACGTAAAGTGATGTCATAAAAATTTGAAATAAATCCACCAAAATTGGAAAGCAAAGATCACCGAAATTATGAAACATTGTGGGTATATTTGATAAAAAGAAGATACTATTTTTGATTAAAAAAAGAGAATATCTTAAAAAGAAGATTTTGGTTGCTGTGGGTATGTATTTTCAATTGTGAGGCCTCTAATCCACCTCTCCCCCAAAATAAGAAAACAGACTGCCTTACAACTGCTTGTCATAGCAGTTTAATTTTGAAAAATGCCTCATCTGTCCCTGCTTGCAATATATTGTCTTACGACTACGTTTACCTTTTTTATTTTTTGGGGGGGGGTTATTGAAAGTTACAAGGAGCAAAATAATGTTTTTAGAGAATTTTTTTCTTCTCTTGTTTAAATATTATTTTAAAATCAAAAGCAGCTCATTTTTAAATCGACATATTAAGTGTTAGCTGCACCAACTTTCACCAGCACACAAACCCATTGTAAAGCAAACTGGAATTTAAGGGGCAATGGGGAGTCCTACAGAGGTCATATTTTCACTCTGCCTAACTAAACCATAAATCAAGATTACAACAATAAATTATTTTTTATTATTTTGGCAGGAATAAGTATAGCCTTGAATTTTGAAAGATATTTGGGCTTAATTCATATGTTAAATAGGTCGGGATAAACCAATGCTAGAAGAAATTGAAACTGGCCCAATATTATACAGAAACCCAAATTAGGCACTCACCACCAAACTAATTAGTAATTGATAAATTTACAATAGTAATGTAATTTCTTTACACTGCAAAGCCAAAGAAATAGGATAATTGAAAGCTTCAAATCTAAAAAAAAAAAAATTGACAATCTTTTAATCAAAGGCATTGTTTACAACGTGGCTTTTAGGTAGCTGCAGTAACATCTTTAACTGGTTAAAAACACTCATCAAGCTATAAAACTACTTTCTTAGATGTCTATAGCAAACTGTTTGAAACCTCCCAAAGTGCCTTAATTTATATTTTTTCAGCAGCTACAATGAATGTTACTTTCTTCCAGTCCAAATGTATCATTTTCACTTTTCAACTTATTCAAGTTCATAGAGAGCAACCTATGAAGCCACAATTTTATAGAAATCTATTTTTCAGGTTTAAATGTGGTACCCTGACTTTTCATAAGCTCCAATAGTTGTGCCAAGTTACTTTTTTGTTGTTGTTCTAAGGAAAGATTTTATGCAAATAAAGAGACTGCTCTGTGGGAAAGCATGTTTTCTTAAGTATTTAATCGGACATTTCCACACCACAACACTTTGTAGACATGTTTTTGCTTTGAAAACATAATCTTATCAGGGGTGGTTGGTGTACAATTCTTGTCTGTTTTCTTACCTTTGAATTTGAGCTCTATTTATAAGGCTCAACTAAATGATGTCTGCAGCTAAGGCATTTCCTTACTAGGGAGTTTTACACGAACACAATTAATATGAAAGCACACAACGCATTGAACAGGGTGTCAATTTAGGTTTCCGGTACAATGTAACCTTATCGAAGTGTTCCCGTTTACATAGAAGAAAACAAATATGATAAAGCGGTTAAATATGTATCTGTCTTAGATTTCTAACATTTTCCTCTCGATATATCTTTTCGGAATAAACAAAGGGAAGTGAATTCTTCATTCCTTATTTGTACAAACAAGTGAAATTGGGTCCCCTTCACGATGGAAGGCACTGGCCTTTCTCCTCACATGGAACAAACTGCTAGAGAAACTTGGTTTACACAAAATGGAAACATTTAATCCTTGCATCTATATTTCAAAATAGTACATGGTTTTTCCATAAATCTATGTGTGATGACATATTTCGTAACATTACATAAGGCTTTCCATGCATTTTTATTCATGGGAGAATGGCTTGCAGAAAATCACAACATTGTACTATGCTTCTCCAGCAAGTTAATTTTCACTTTACTGCGAATATACAGTTTATGGAAAAATAATAGTTATTTAAGTGTAGCGTACTTACCTGTTGCTGTGGGAAAATTCCTACCATTAAAAATGTGCTTTCACTTCAGTTATTATTATAATGTAGGCTATACCAATGCCTGATGATTTTTATAAACAGAACCTATAAATCTGCATTTTGGTTCAGGGCTGTACTATTTAGACAAATGAAAATGAAGCAGCATGACATGAAGTCCAAAGGAACGTTCTTATACATGCCTCAACTTTGGTTTTTTGGTAACTGCCCTTTGGAGACTATCCTTTATTAAGGATCTTAATGAGGGTTCTGCCTGTATTTTTCTCCCAAGAATGTCAAATAAGGTTCGAAAGCAAATGTAAACTGTAATACAAGTGACACACACTAAAAATAGCCCTATAAATCTGTTCATTTTGTTTAGATAGTCTCCAGAGTTGTAAAAAGTAGGACTGTTCAGCTTTATTATTTGTTTTGGAAAACCTAATTCTGTAGAGAATAGGCCACTGATAATGCTATATTACTTTAGAGGAGATTTATTAAGACTGTCTCTAGATTTAATTTTTTTAAAATAAAGAAACTCTTTCCTGTTTTTATTTTCCAAATAATCTACAAGATAATTAACTGAATATAATCTATAATATTAAATAAATTTTCCCATTTACTCATTAGAATTAAGATTTTGAAAGGCACATTTATCTAAACTAAAATTAATTAAAATTTCAAATAGAATTCTCATTCCTATTAACCTGTCAAATATGTTGCGTTCAATGTTTCCAGTAACAGAACAACAATATTTATTATCTAACGTACCATAAGTTTTTAAAAATAACTCCAGGAGAACATTTTTGGAACACTTACAATCTGAATAGACAACTAAAAAAATCAGACATTTCTGTGTGAAAAATAGCTATTGTAAATTAAAATGGTTGAGGGAGAATATATTTTTAGAAAACGATGTCATTTGAATTTGAGAAATTGGATGTCAGGGCAAAATTGAAAGAGGGGGTGTGAGCTCCATCATTTGTTAAGGAGGTTTAGAAAAGTAGTTTAGAAGAGGTTTCTCTTGAGAAAAAGTTTAGGAGGTTTAAACCTTTCCTTTACCCTTTCCCCATGGTAGTCAGTAGGATCTCTTGGATTGGCTGGATGACTTTGCACTCAAGCCAAGATTGATTGCAATCTAGAGCTTTGTTTTTTGATATCTTATCCCAATGGAGGCATGTATAAACAGACAAAATGACTAAATTGGGCAGCAATCTGACCTTTTAGATGAGAGGCAGTTCAAAAACTACATCAAATTCTCTTTGAAGAAACAAGAACATTGTCACTGAACAGAACCTTACAGCTTAGTTCTTTTTTCTTCCACACGGCCGAACTGTACCCTTGAATTATTAAGAAATAGGAGTTTCCAGGGCTTTGGGCCTCCTTCCCACCCCAACCCCTCCCAAACTCCCTTCCCCCTGAGTTCAGAAAGAAAAAAGTGTTGCTATTCATATGATAATTGTCAAAACCATGACGAGGGCCAAACAAGACAGTGCCAAGAAATCATTAGTTCAGTATACATCTCAGATTTCTGTAATGTTCAGTTAATGGGCTGGATTTCACCAGACCTTTTTTCTTGTAAATTCTCCTTAGTTTGCTTTTAGCCATCTTTAAAAAGAATTGTGTAAGCCAGGTTTTTAGTAATCCTTTTTCAGTGAAAGTTAATTTTTTTAAAAACTGAAATATTGTTTTTGACAAGTTCTTACATTCCATTTTTATTATATACATTTTGAAATTACTAATTCAGAAAACTAAAATGCTGTACTGAAAAATTTCCCAACACCATATTAGAGCTGAACATTGTAGCTCAAGCACATAAAACACAGAAGGGAGATAAAATAACCAAAATATCTTTAAATTTAAAAAAAATTCTGATTCATGTAGAAAGAAGGATAACATACAGGAAATTTTGAGAACATTTTTTATTCATTCAGGTAAATGTTGATGCAAGTCTGTTTTTACATATATGAGTTAATCTAATGCTTCAGATATTATAATGTCATTCTATCTTTTTAAATATTTTATAGAAATATGTCACCATGGAAAAAGCAAATATTACAATGAGAGTAACCAACCAGAATTTTGAAAAGCAAAGGAAAAGGAATAGTGCAATTTTTGTTTGTAAACCTATTGACATAAATAGTCTGACCTGTCACAAATTACCTTTTAGCTACCGTATGTTATGTATAGAACAGTCAAAACTGATAACATTTTGCTTTCATCAGTTTTGTGTTAGGATTCTGAAAACCTGAAATGTTGATTGTGGCGAAATAATCAAATGTATCTACATAGCATGCCTCCCCTGGACATGTTTACTCTGGTAAGAATTCATAAATGCAAAACTAGGCTAAAGAACAGGGTTACTGCTTCTAAAAGGCAGCTCATGGGTTGTTTAATAGTATTTTAAATGTCTGCTAATCGGAGTCACAAGAAAGCACAGAAGAGTAGAGAATTGGTTCCAGGGCAATCACACAGTAGTCAAGAAGATTAACATGCCACTAGGGGACAGCAGAAAGTCACAGAATGAGGTAGTGCCAGAGAGACCAGAACAAAAGGCTTTTCTTTGTCGAGAGACAGACAGAGAGAGAGACTAAGATGTATTTCCAAACTAAAATCATTTTACAAGTATTCGTAAGTGTATTTTTAAAAAGCAGTAGAAAAATATTTTCAAGGTTCTATTTTTAGATTGCTAAGCTCTGTGTACCAGAATGTTATAAAATATACATAACTATCATCTTGGCAAAATAAATTCAAATATGGGCTATTCTATTTTCTGCTTTTTAGAGTGAAGAAAAGTTTCAAACATCAGGAAAAAAAAACAGCGCATTGCAAAACATATTAGACTGAACCTATCGATGACAAAATGCAACTGTGAAATGTTGAGACTGTTCATCAAAGCTGGACATAAGCAGGATCCATTCCATTTTCAAAGAGGTAGAGTGACTGTCTGAAAAAACAAAAGTAACTAGAAAATTGATAAAACTGACCGAGTCATCTATGCAGAAAGTTGCTTATATAGACCCATAATATAATACATTTGTGATCATAAAGCACAATTTTGATTTTGGAATTGCAATCATAGTTCAAGGCGAGTAACAATTTTAACCTCTGTAATTATTTTAAAAGCTAATGCACATCCTTTAACAATTCAGTTTGCTGAAATGGTCACTTATGCTTTTGTATTTATACACCTAAACATCATCTAAGTGCAATAGATTTTACAATCCCAGGTGATTTACCTAGACTGCAACATTGTTATCAAATGATAACCTTCTAAGTTTCTTGAATTCATGGGTCATATTCCTTTGTTTGAGCTGCATAAAACCTATATCACTGAGCAGTCACTTAATATCTCTGATGATAAGGATGTTAATGAGTTTTGTAATACTTTTCTGAGTTATTTCTCTGTTACAATATTGCTTCTTGAATGCTATACATTGTTTATTCTTGTTTTATGTGGTACACATGTATTATTTACTTACCAGATAATCGCAGTTTTCCCGTCATAAAAATCAAAAGGTCGAAAAAAATTTGAGAAATTTGAGAAAAATATTTGAGAAATTTAGTTCATTTTCCCATTGTTTTTTATTTCATATAAAACTGGGAATAAAATATGGCAAAGCTGTTTATTTGCCCTATTTTTATTTTTTGGCCCTATTTTTCATATTTAAGGATTTCAATTGCACAGTATTTTTTAAAATTTCTGGTGGCTGTTATGTATTGTACATAAAAATATTTAGAATTCTTTTCTTACCACCAAAATATAATTTTGATTAAAATTATAAATGTATTCTAAATTCATGGCATCCTTTCCATTTTCATTATTTTGTCTTTATTTAATCCCTTTCTTTTTTCTGTAATATGTTTTCCTTTCTGATCAAGTATCCTGACTCTTATGCACTTCTGGAATTTAGCACTTCTTTCATCTCAGATGGACTTTATCCCTAGATCCACAATTATTTATTTTTTGTTTCTTTTCCTGGATGGGTTCCTGTGTTATAGATTGCATTCTCTCTTTTTGTTCTGCAATTTGGACTAGCAGACTACAAAAATAATAATTCAACACATGTTAAATCCTGAAGATCCTCTCCCTGCACGGTGGAGAAGATCTTCCTAATATCTTGCTGAAATCCCCATCTACCACATTTAAGACCCTGCTGTCTGGTACTATTCTCAGAGGAAACAGAGACCAGCTGTTCACCTCTACCTGCAAAGGACTGTGTTCCTTCATGAACTTGAAGACTGCGATTAATTCCTTCCAAGTCTTTTCTTCTCCAGACTAAACAAGGCCAGTTTCTTTACCCTTGTTTTATTGGTACTATTTTCCAACACTTGAGTTATTTTGCTGCTTCCTCTGGACCTACTCCAAATTCTGCACATTTGGCATAAATGTTAGGATGCTAAAGGACACAACAGGATAACAAAGAACAGATTAATAATGCATATAAAGTGAATGATTCTATTTCCTAAATTCTCAATGACTATCTGTCAGTATTTTGTCTTTGAACAATCAGACTATGCTTTTAACCCACAATTAGTTTATGATCCACTGTGGAACCTTGTTATCTTTTTTCTTACTTATAATTCAATAAATCTTTCATTTTTTATATTTAAAGTTTATTTTTTTCTCTCCACCAGTTAATTGCTTATGCTTTTTTCCAATAACCCTCTCTATAATTTTTTTCACTTGTTCCCTCTAACTTTTCCTTTTTACGCTGGTTGTTCTCTCTTGCTTAAATTCCCATCACAATGTCTTGGACAGTATCAGAACCTCAACAATTTCTTCAGAATACAAAGATAATTGAAATAATTATATGTCCATTTAATTTCCTTAAGCAAACTCTTAATAAATAAGATTAGTGAGTTTTTACAAAGAAAAAATGTCTTTAAAATATTAACATTACCCTAAAAGGTAGATATTTTTTTCTTCCAAACAAGAAGACTTGGCTAATGTGGCAGGTATGTGTGAAAGAGAGAGAAGAGAGGTGTTGGTGTATGGAAGTAAGCATAAGTTAACTTCTAGAAAACTGGAAGCATTTGGCCTTCACCCTTTTCTTACCTCGGAAAGGACCTGAGATTTACGATTTTCCTCACAACTGCACCCTCTGTCATGTCTAATACTTTATCCGTCCACATAGAGAGATAGAGAAGATAGATATGAATAAAATTATATCTAATCTCTCTCATCCTTAACACCTGCAAATTACAGTACTCCTTCAGTACTTTCACTTTGTAGAGTAGGTTATTCCACTTAGAAATTATATTAAATTTTTAGTCTGCTGAGATAAAGCTATGGACGAATTCTGCAAATTCTGAGTAGTTCCCACTGTGGGCTATTGATGACTAAACTGCCCTGTAATAATAACAATGAACGAAGGAGAGAGAAAAGCAAAATCACTATGTAATTCTACTATTGCCTTAATACTGTCCTGTGAAAGCAAAGAAAAAATTGGAAGAGAAAATTATGATTTAATAAACTGATTTTCAATACCAATCATCAAATTTTAAAAAATAGCCTTACTTTGTGCAAAATGATCATTATTTGTGCTATCTTGCTTACTTAAAAAAAGAGATCACAAGAAATATATATACATTTTTTTTTTAAGACGGAGTCTTGCTCTTGTCACCCAAGCTGGAGTGCAATGGCGCGATTTCGGCTCACTGCAACCTCCACTTCCTGGGTTCAAGCGATTCTCCTGCCTCAGCCTCCTGAGTAGCTGGGATTACCGATGTATGCCACCATACCCAGCTAATTTTTGTATTTTTAGTAAAGACGGGGTTTCACCATGTTGTCCAGTCTGGTCTTGAACTTCTGACCTCGCGTGATCCCACCCGCCTCGGCCTCCCAAAGTGCTGGGATTACAGGCGTGAGCCACTGTGCCCGGCCAGAGATCACAAGAAATATTATGAAACTGCTTGAACTCTTAGTATCTATTCATCTCCAAACTAACCTTTACACAAAAAGAGGGGGAGGGGAATAAAATAAAACAAATTAAACCTTCAAGTTTTTATTCTCACCCAGATGTTAGCCTGTAAAGAAGAGACACTCTTGCATAAACAGTGCAGGGCTCTATTGCTTCCAGCACCTGCATCCAAGTTGCTGAAATTGTAAAGAAAAGTTCCCTCTATTTAACCCATGTCTAGTGCGTATGAGTCCTTCTATGGTTTCTTAAACCCATTAGTTGTCTTCATGAAGAAAATAATACCTTCAAGCAAGAAGACAACAGAAAAGTTAAGGTCTTCTTTTGTTTATATCATTTCAGTTTACAAAAAATAAAAAGTAAAATAAATAAAACTTGGAACTGTTCTATAACTGTCATTTAGCATATGGTAAATTTGACCAGACTGTTTACTTACACAGGAGTCTTATCTGAAGGTCAGAAATGTAATCAAAAACTAACCAAATACAAAGAGAAACTAGTGAAAGATGAAATAACCCAAACTCAAAATGCCCTACTTAAATCACTTAGGGTTTTTGTTTGAGGACTTTTAAAATTATTATTTCTCTGGAAATAATTAGAGCTTTATTAAAAAAAAAGACATCAAAAAGCCCCCACAAGGAAATCTATAGAATATTTTTAAATGAAAAGAAGTGTGCAAGAACACTGTATATTCACTGCAGTGACTATGACATGTATCTTCCTAAACACCTTCGTTTACACGTGGCATATGTAGAAGAAAAGTGAAATTGAGCCTCTGACTTATTGTTCCTTGAATGGATAGACCCCCTTGGCTACAGACATCAGAGACCCTTTGCTACATTCATTTCTTTCCCTCTATCTAGCAACTTCTTTTCTGATCAGCCTTCTGAATATTATGCCTTTCTCTCTCACTCTCTACAGTCTATCTTTCTTCTTTGTCTGCGTTCAGTAAATCTCATTTTTCCTATGTAACAATTATATTTATGATGTTAAATTATATTTATACTTTACCTTAATGATGTCCCTTCTTTATTTTCCCCTCCCTAAATCATTTCTATCTTTCTTTCCAACTCTCTTCTCCTTCAGGCCCTCTCTGTCCCCTCCAGCCTTTTCCCTTATTCTGTCACCTCAGGTTGCTGCTGAGCTTCCTACTCTTTTTCCTGTCACTCTGTACAATCTTCAGTAGCAAATCTCTTTCCCACTTCTCTTTCCATGTGGTCTGTGTATGCATTTGGGAAAGATGACTTACGCATGGGGTCAGGGTGAGGGAAAGAGGTCTTAATACGCAAGAAAATGCAGAATGTCTCAGGAAGAGCAAACTTTTCGAAATATTTTATTTTAATGTAGACCACCAGCAGATGCAAAAATTAAAAAGTAATATCCAAAAAATATGATCCCTCTGTATTTCACACCCAATGCCTTTATATCCTGCAGGTGTTCCTCAAGACCAACTTGAAGCACAGTCATTTAAAAGATCTCTTATTATTTTATTTTTACTTTTCATTTCCCAAAAGGTTTTAAATAAATTCTTTAGTACAGTTTACTAAAAGGAAGACAGATGCATTTTTCTCCTGAATCTGAATGCTTCGGTTTGGCTTTGAGAAAATGTGTTTAACAAGTCAGTTCTTAGCAGAGACCCAGTTTAAGTAACCTATGGCGCATTTTATTTGTAAATAATTTATTATTGAATACAAATGCCCATACTTTCTAACATGTCAAAATCAACAGGAAGCAGGACTTCTTGTAAGGGTTTACCACTAGTCCTACTAAATTTTTGTCAAGATTGTGTGAAAAGCATACTTAATATTTAATTTAGCTTATAACACCGAAAGGAGCTGCCATCCACCTTAGTGGAATAATATGCAAGGCTGAACTGTGTCTTTCTCATTTGGGGAGAAGAAAAATGCTTAAATATCCCACCAGTGATGCATCTGAGAAACTGGATAACTTTTAGTGTTTTCTGTAATCCCACTTTTAAAATAAATAATGAGTGTTTATATGTGTATTCAGCAATGGCTATGATATCGCCGTCACCCCCTACTAAAAAAGATTCTCTGGTGGGTTTTCAATCTTAAAATCTTCTCACTACATTCTAGGAAACTGGAGAACAATAGGTGGGTTTCATATAGCACCTGATTGATATTTCCAGGGTGTGAAAACCTCTACTGGCAGATTAGCCTGATATTGCATATTCAAACACATACAATGCTATATTTGTCATTGCTATTGACCTTTATCTCTCCAGTTTCCTGACAACCTTCTACAGTTATTGACATTACAAATACCAGCAACAACGTGCAGGGCAAAGTATAACCTTTCATTTACCTTCATGTCCCTCAAATGACTTGTGTAGGTAGTTTCAACAAAAGCGGCAAACAATGATACTGTTGATTTTTTTTTCCTTAACTTGCTAAAATGTTTTCCATTTTCCTCTTGTTCTCAGAAAATCATGCCAATAACTCTCTACAAAGGAAACGATTTCAAATGAATACAGGTAATTAGAAGTGTCAGGAAATCAGCAAAGTAGGGTGTCTGCCATCATTTCTGTGGAAAGAGTGCCAGATTCTCTTTCAAAAAGGTCTTTGTCATTTTTTAATAGAAGGTAATTAATGTAGACTACAGTAAAATGTGCAGGATTCCAGTTGCTTGTCTTTCTTGCCATAGAAATGGGACCATAAAGATGTTTTGATATCTAGAAACAATCTTCTGAGGTTATTTCAAAATGACTTTTAATTACAAAAGTAGTCCTTTTAGTCTTTTCATTTGAAAAGAAAAAAGATTTAGAAAGGGCATATTTTTTAGGAGACAAAGGAAAGAAAGTTTTACAAGGAAAAATTATCTGGAAAGTGAAACAACAGGATTTTATACAGCTGACAAGAGTTGAGTATGCTATAAATTATCCTATATCTCAAACGTTTCTAACAGTAAGAGAAATAATGCATATTGTCCCAGTGAAGGTAATTACACACTGCTGACACTATGACATCATGGGCAAAATGAGATTCTTTTTTTCCTCCAAGGCCAAAATGGAATTGACTGGCTCAATTAAAGCCACCCCTCCATGAGATCACTAAGAACAAGTGGCCCAAAGATATTTATTAAACAGGAGAATCTTTAGGACCATCCCCATTCTTTTGGGGATGAGGGTGAAATTTAAGTCAATACTGAGATTATTTGAAGGTCATAATTTCCTCATATGTGCTATACAAATGGAATAATCCCTCCGAGATTAAGTTTTCCATGGATTTAAATATGAAAGTATTCCCATTTCATCTCTTGGTTCTCAAGAAACAGTGTATTTTCTCATTTAGAGTTTTATTCTCTTGGAAGAGCAAAAATATCTCAATCACAACAAATACATTCTAAAACCTTGAAGTTTGAAATGAAAATTGTGATGGTATTTCAATAGACTCTATCATTGAAACACTGATTAATGTGGTAACCACATTAATGGTTAATAGCTAGGTATAATGATTAATAGCTAGGTAACCACCAGGTAAGCAGTGCATATATAACACTGCAACACTACTTCCCAAATAATGTCTCAAGACGTGTTTTTATTTTTAAATACAGATAAGCATATAAGTACTCAATAAGTATGATCATTATTATCTGTTATTGAAAATAAGATGAACTGGAGAAAAAATTCAGCCAAATTCCTCTAATAAATCTGTTTCAATGCAACAAGTAGAATATTATCCTGTTTTTTTCTTATCTTCTTTCCTGAGATTGTCCTTCTTCAGTGGATTCCACAGTGCTCATCAAACAAATGAAAAACACTAAACTACAATTGATGTGATAATCATATGTTATGCCACTTACCAATACACTCTGGAAATCAGAATTTAGTGTAATTTGTTTATGAGCCAGTCAAATCAAGTTTTCTGAATGAGTGTATCTAGCCATTTTAGAAAAGATTATACTTCATACAAGCATAATCTTTAAAGTCTGGCATTAAAATAATGTGTAAAAAGTGATGCAAAATGTCACAGAGTCATTTATAATAGATACTTTCCCAAAGGTAGGAGAAAGAACAAAGTAGTAAGTAAGACAAAGTCTAGGAAAAGTAGCTTGGTTCATATGTTCAGGTTGATCAGAGCACACGCAAAGTTCAGAGTGACGGACCCAAGCTTAAACCATGACATAGACAAAATAATGAGACTGCTTTAATTATCAAAGATAAATAAATTGCTGATATGGTTTCACTCTGTCTCCCTACCCAAATCTCACCTTATCTCACCTTGAATTGTAATAATCCCCATGTGTCAAGGGCGGGACCAGGTGGAGATAATTGAATCATGAGGGCGGTTTCCCCCATACTGTTCTCATGATAGTGAGTGAGTTCACAAGATCTAATGGTTTTATAAGGAATTTTCCCCTTTGCTTGATTCTCATTTTCTCTCTTGCCTGCCACCACGTAAGATGTACCTTTGCTCCTTCTTCACCTTCTGCCATGATTGTGAGGCCTCCCCAACTATGTGGAAATGTAAGACCATTAAACCTCTTTCCTTTATAAATTACCCAGTCTCAGGTATGTCTTTATTAGCAGCATGAGAACAGACTAACACAATTGCCATTCACAATCGGAGGTGAATTCACCATCTTCTGTAAGAAACATAGCCAAGAACACAGAACATAGTCATAAAAAAGGATGGAGAAGGTAGAAGAGGGAGTGGAGTTCCAGAAGCATGTCAATATGAAGGAGAGAAAGTTGAAATTCTTCAAGTACCTGAATTCAGCTGAGTGTGCTTTCTCAATTATTTGACACTTGTTCTTTTAGTCCCAGGACAGTGAGGGGTCAGGAAAGTAAGTAGTTTATGGCAGGATCATTTCAAGCTGTTCTGCTTTGTCCTCCAAGTAATACAATCTCAACTAAGATTTCTAATTTAATGCTGTCTCAGAGCCTGTACCATAAAACTCTTCCCAGAATCAAAGGAGGATGGAACAATCATTTGTAGACCATATTCCAATTATAACAGTGTAAAACTGGTCTATATTTTACTTCTTCCCCTCCTTGCTTACTTGTAAAGGAATAATTCCATTGGGGTGCATGACATTAGTACTTTCCTATGAAAGACAATGAAGATAAGTCATTTCTCCTATTACAGATTTCATCATTGTATTATGTATGGTCTTAAAAAGCAGATGAACCTATTGGTAAATCACTGTCAAAAATAATAGCGAAATATTAACCATGTTCAAATCAAAGATTATTGGTTTTATCATTTCTTATCGTTCAAATGTATAATTCTAGGCAGGGCTGGTATTCAGGCAGTAGGTAACAGAACAGCTATGTTGATTATTAAAATAATGAAATACTGCCATTCATCATCATTAATCACTAACCATTAACCAATGCTCTTACCCCTCCCCTAAGGACCACCTATGCTCCTATCCACCCAGGTTCCTTAACCCCAAAATACCCCCACCTAAGCTATTTCAAGTTACGCCTTTTATAGCATCTGGTTCTCTGGGGCACACCTTCAGCAATGTGAATGATGTCTTTTCTTATTGGTTTGTGACCATACCATATCAGTCGTTAAATATTTTTATAATTAACCTTTGATTCCAGCTCCTCTCTCCACCCAGTAGGTTAATACATTCAACCTCTTGAAAGTATATTTTGTACTTGTATATTTATTCTATAAGAGCCACATTTATATTTCATAGCTAATATGGTTGATTGATAAAATCTACACTTAAATTTCCTTGTCAAATTATATCTTCGACACTATGGATATGCAAACATATCTTTATTTGTTTGAGCATAATCAAATATATTTTAAAGATTAGTTTTATCACAGCTTAGATACACCCCCTAGCAGCCCTTCTTTGCACAGAAATAGGATGACACTATATTTCAGTAGACAGTTTTGTCAGGCTTATTAATTTTCACAATAGAATATCAGCTTTGCCATCTGCAAATATGGTATCTAAAACATACAGTTCTCACTTCAATAAATGGCAATTCAAATACTGTTGTGGGCTAGGCAATTGGCAGCATATAGTATCCATGCTAAAGGCACTGGAATTTAATTTTTAAGTGAGTGCATCCAAATTCTACCAAAACATGGTCAAGACAATCAAGATTTGAGAAAGACTAAAAAACATTTTGACTATCCATTTCTCAGATTCTATAAACTCTATTTCAGAATCTAAACAATAGAAAGTAATGGGGTTGGACTATATTAATATGGCACTCTATAAAAATGCTTTCATGAAATCAGCAAGTGTTATTGGAATCCAGTACAAGAGATGTTACTATGAAAAACATTTTTTGCATGTTCCCTAAATTAATGTCCAATGTGTTACCTAATCTCACTCCCAAATTTGTATCTCCAATTTAGATCACTCTTAACTCACTTTTCTACTAACTGTTTGATATTTCCACTGCCTCAAAAGCATCTGAAATTCAACATGTCTAAGAGCCAACTGATTATTTGTCCCTCCAAATCTGATTGCCAGGGATACCCTATCTCAGCGGCTTCTGATTGCATTCAGAAGAAGCAATCTTTGACCTGTCAGTCTCCTTCACCAGTATATTAAACCCATTATCAAAGACAATTAATTTAAACCCTTCTGTTTCTCGCTGTCTTCACACTATCATCTTTCACCTAGATACCAGAATAGCCACCTAAATAGCCCTCTGCTTCTACTGTGAATATTCTCTCTTTGGTCTCTATATTGCAAGGGTGATGTTTTCCAAATAGAAATCTGATGATGTTCTTCCTCTGCTTAGCAATCTCCAAAGAACCTCACATCTCTCAGGCCTACCAGCCCCGCTCAAGAGGCCAGAGGGTGCATAGATGTTCATTACCTTCTCATGCCATTTCCCCTCTTCCTTTTACTCAACTCCAGCCACATAGCTCATATTTCAGTTTGTCAAGCCTTCTTCCTGCCACAAAGACTTTCAACACTTTGTTCCCTCTGTCCTATCCCAGCCCTTTCTCTAGATCAGTGCCTCTCAAACATTAATGTTAAAAGGAATTAACTAAAGTTCTTATTAAAATGCAGATTCAGACTATAGGTCCTGGCTGGAACCTGAGATCCTGTATCACTAAGAAACCCCTAGCTCATGCCAGTGCTGTTGTCTATGGACAGCGCTTTGCAAGAAATGACCTAGATAACTTCTGCGTAAGACTTCAGCTCTCATATCACTTCTTCAGGAAAGCTCTCCTAAACTCCAAGTCTAGGTCATATTCTTTTGTTATGTGCTCTTATAGAACTATACTCCTTTTATTATGTGTTCTTATAGAACTATAATCCCATTTTGTAATCGCAAACTAAGAAAAAGATTAATGGCTAATTTCGTCCAGTACTGCACTTGCCATATAGGCAGAGAACTATTTTGCTCACTATTGAGTCCCCAGTGACTAGAACAATACTAGAGACATAAAAGGCATTTCTAAAGTAGTTGTTGAATGAAGGAAGGGAGGAGAGAAGGAAAAATTTATGTAATAAATTGCTGGAATTTAGTATCAGAACAAAGTTGGAAATTTGTCCTTACTGAAGAATATGTATATATTTCCCTTTATTAAGTAAGAGCCATATAACCCATCACCTTTTCCTTTTTTGCTTGTCTGTGGGAAGCATTCCTAAGTTTACTGTTTTATTGCAGTAATCAATTTAGCACAGGTTTTTAGCTTTTAATTATAATAATCTCACCTTCTATTTTTTGTTTCTGACTCCTTGTTTCATCTAATTTTTTACTGTCTTATATGTTGATATTTTATGATAAGCTGCATCAAATCATTTTGAAAATAGTAAATTACTTTACTGGAAAACTTCTACTTAAATAGCTATACTTACTACATTAGTAGTTATATAGGCTATAGATTTTTAAAAACTTGGGCTCTAGAGTCCCACAGTTGGTATCCAAATTCTGACTTCATGAAATAATGGCAGCTCTGTTTTATAGAGTGGTGAGGCTCAGATGAAATGATGTTTAAAAACAATACTGTGCCTACACATGGTAAGCACTAAAAAAAAATTAATTACTTATTTGTTTTGTTTGTTGTTTGTTTGCCCAGGTTGGCCTCGATCTCTGGGCTCAAGCAATTCTCGCACATCAGCCTCCCGAGTAGCTGGTACTACAGACAGATGTCATCGTGCCTAGTAATTAGTTAATATGTCTGTGGCTACTAAAGGCACAACCAGTAAATAAAAAATGTTCCCAAATTGAGTTTTCCCTAATTTTAGACTATGAGATCAGAGTACTCCTTAAAGTAAAACACTGTACAGTAGGCTTAAAACTGGGGCAAGAATCAGTGAGAACCTAGAAAGGCAGTTATGATTCTAAGAAAAGCCTCAAGTCCTCTATAAAAAAAGAATAATATTGCCTTATATTCAAATAGTATTGAAGTATAATTAATTGATTTGAACAAAGTCCTAAAGCCAGCCAGTGGTATAAGTACATATCTCTTAATAATCCATAAGTTTTGATTCTTCAGTGATTACAAGATATTCAACATTAAATACCTTGATATTGAGAACAGCACGTTAAATGTTGAAAGTAAACTTTATAACATAATAAATAAAGTTGGAAAATTACATTGAATATACGTGTCCACAAACTGAAGATTCCATAAAAGGCCCATATGATATATGGCAACTGAACTGAAATGTTGCCCTCAGGGAAGCTTCTATTTTAAAAAATTTAGTGTGTGTTGTATCCCCCACGTGTAAAAGTCATTAAAAAGAAAATTCCTTAAGCTTAACGGCAACTTATAAGTTAATTGTTAATCAATATAAAATGTAACATCAGGGTAGAATTTTGCTTCTAAATGAGTATATAGAGAGGTCTTATCGTCTTCAGAAAGGGGCCAGGTGAGTGCTGCTGGGAATAAAAGTGATTTGGATATGAGGATAGCATTTTACACAGGTCCCACATAGGGTTATAAGTAGATCCATTTTAAAGAGCCCATCGTAGGTTAAACAGCAGAAGTTTAAAAGAATAAAATAGGGAAAATGAAAAATATATTTTTCCTATAAGCAAATGTTAATTTAGCACAGTGCGATCAGGTTTTTGTATACGTTTTCATTTCAGTGATACTAGACAAAAGAAATAAGTTCTTTACAGTAAAATCTCAAAGTATTCAAAAGTTCTCTTGGAATATGAAGGGGTTTGTCTCACTTTTCAGTTTTCAATCTGTAATTCATGTGTCTCCAAATAACAGCATGCAAAAGAAACTTTTTAGATGAGATAAAATATTTATTTTAGTCTGAGAATGTATTAAACCCCAAACCTGAAATTAAAATTCAGAGTAATTTATGCTCGTACGTAAAGAGGTAATAAAGCCCCCTATGGATGAAATCAACTGAGTTTCACTTACCTTCAATAAACGCACGACAGCTCAGTAAGAACTTAGCCGAGTTCAAATGTTCTTTGTTGTTATCTTTCATTTCCAAGTTGAGCCTCTCCAGCAAACATTAGGTGGGATAAGCAGGACTTTCATTTCATTCAGCATTTTGGGATTTCTAGGTTATGCACGGACCTGTTCTTTTAAAGTTCAATTCCATTCAAATCAGTAGAACAGACAAGTCCTCTCTTGCATGATGGAAATTTGAAAACATGCATATTGCTTTTACAAACACATATGTTACTGCAAACCAAGAGAATTCCATACAAAAGAAAATTTTCCCATAGAAAGAAAAAAAACGGTTAATTTCTGGTTTAAAGAAATGACGCACCACCTTCCAAAAAAGTGCATAGCTGTGGAAAAATAAAATGCGACATTTTAAAGGCTGAAGTGTAAGAAAACCCTCTGTCACGAAGACATCCAAATATCTTTTGAACTATTTACACCATATGCGTCCCAATAAGGCTCTTTTCTGATTAAATAATGACAAGTAAGTGGAACCAAAGATGGCTTCAAAGACCCTTGAATCTTTACACAGCTTTTTGTAATTTTGCAAGTGTGAAATTTAGCTATCATTATACAAATGTTCTAAAGCATAATTTTCTGGGTCTGTAAAATATGTTTAGGAATAAGATGCTATGCCCCTCGTAGGCACTCAAAAGATATGAGTGAATAAATTAATAACAAATGAATGCTTAAGAAAGCAGCTCTTATGAAATACATATAACATTTTAAAAATTCTGAGCACAAATTTAATTACTTGAAAAGAGTAATTGTGAACCTATGATGGACAACCACCTCTTAAACAGAATTAGCTGAGAGCCAACCGAGTGCGTTCACTTATGTGTGACAATAAGATAATGGCCAAACACATGTGGAACACACAAAGAGGGGGAAATTGTGCAGTCATTAAAATTCGGAATAGCTTGTAATGATGTGGGAAAATATTTATAATGAAGTATTAAGTGTAAAAAGCAGGAAAAACCATGCATACAGTAAAAAGCAAATGCTTTCATACTCATAGAAAACAGGACTGGATTAAAACGTGTAAAAAGTTTCAATAGTGGATATCTCTGGGTAATGGGATCATAAATGCTTACTTTTAATTTTGTTAAAAATGTTTTCCAGGCCGGGCGGGTGGCTCACGCCTGTAATCCCAGCTCTTTGGGAGGCCAAGGTGGGCGGATCACAAGTTCAGGAGTTTGAGATCATCCTGGCCAACATAGTGAAACCCTGTCTCTACTAAAAATACAAAAATTAGCCTGGTGTGGTGGCATGCTCCTTGTGCTCCCAGCTACTCAGGAGGCTGAGGCATGAGAATCACTTGAACCTGGGAGGCGGAGCTTGCAGTGAGCCAAGATGGTGCCACTGCGCTCCAGCCTGGGCAACAGAGTGAGATTCTGTCTCAACAACAACAACAAAAGTCTTCCAATGAGCATGTAATCCTTTTTTTAAAATTAATTTCTTTTTTTTTTTGAGACAGAGTCTCACTCTGTCACCCAGGCTAGAGTGCAGTGGCATGATCTCGGCTCGCTGCTACCTCCACCTCACGGGTTCAAGCGAGTCTCTCGCCTCAGCCTCCAGAATAGCTGGGATTACAGGCATGTGCCAACATGCCCGGCTATTTTTTTTTAATTTTATTTTTAGTAGAGACAGGGTTACTCCATGTTGACTAGGCTAGTCTGGAACTCCTGACCTCAAGTGATCCGCCCACCTCGGCCTCCCAAAGTGCTGAGATTACACTCATGAGCCACCGCGCCTGGCCTACGTCCACATTCAGAATAAAAAGATCCTTTTTAAGTGGTAAATAAGGGTGCTATAATGCTATAATACTTTATAAGATTTAAAATTCCTTGAAAGAAGATGTGGCTAGTTAAGCAGCATTCTAAATGACCTATAGGCTCTTTGTAGATTCAACTGCACCGTCCCTAGATCCCCCAGAGGGCCCCAAAGGGGTACTGGTAAGCATCTGAACGAGATCTTGATGACTTCAATTGACCACACAAAAAGTAAGAAGTAGACCACAGAAGGAACTTCACTGTTGTTGAATAAACTAGGGAAAACAAATCCAAAACTCTAGGACATTTTAGATACCATATACTTTAGGTTTCTACTGCATAGCAATGTTCTAAAGCCAATCATCAACATACTGTGATATATAAGGATGTAACAGTTCAACCCTAGTGTTATGAATTGTCAGGAATTGATGGGAATTTAAGAGGGCCATCTGCTATGGCACTTGATTGCATACTTCCTATCCCAGGGTCAGCATCACTGCCAAACAAATGCCTGGGTCTAGACAATCTTTAGGAAACTTACCACCTCTGTAGTGAATTTGATGACAAAACTGTATTTTCTCCCTCAGCATCCTTTGGAAGCAAACACCTTAGATATTGATTTTTTAAAGAAAGAAAGAAAAGAAAAAAAGAATACATTAGCCACAACCTTTTGTTTCATTTTGAGACAAGGTCTTGTTCTGTCACCCAGGCTGGAGGGCAGTGGCACAATCATAGCTCACTACAGCCTCGAACTTCTTGCCTCAAGTGATCCTCCCACCTCAGCCTCTCAAAGAGTTGGGATTACAGGTGTAAGCCACCACACCTGGCCAACTATAACTATTTTGGTTACAATAGGGGAGAAAATATTCAAACTGGCTTAACCAAAAAACAAAACAGAGACATATATTGAACATTCCAGAGGTAAAGCTGGCTAGGGTGCAACTGGATCCTCATATAATAAAATCAGGACTTGAGTTCACACCGTCTCTTGGCTCTGCCTCTTTCTCTCTTGGCTCCATTGTCAGGCACACTCTTCAATTGTGACAAGATGGCTCCAACAGCTCCAGGCCCAAATTCTCTGCTCTCAGCAATCCTCTCAAAACACACAAACACACACACACACACACACACACACACACACGCTATTCACCAACAATTTTTTATAAATTAACATCCTGGGCCTGACCATTATTGTCAAAATTGAGCTCTGCAACCTGCTTAAACCAATATCTGTAGTGAAGGGCATGAAATCCACTAATTGATTCCTTTAGACCATGCACCCGCTCTTAGGACTGAGTGAAGGGTCAGTTCCAGTCAAAAGAGGTGTAAGAAACAAAGAGTGAGATCATCCTAAATGAATGGCAGAGGAGATACTAGATGATGGTGATTGGTAGGTAGGTAGGCAGGTAGATAGGTAGATAGATAGATATAAACTGATAGATACTAATCTATTACAAGGTATTTTCTTTGCAGCTAATCTCTCCAAGGTCTTGACAAAAAAAAAAAATGATAATAAGAGGGAGTAGGAATTGTACCAATGAAAATGCAGGGAAGGCCAGGCGCAGTGGCTCACACCTGTAATCCCAGCATTTTGGGAGACTGAGGTGGGTCCATCACTTGAGCCCAGTTCAAGACCAGCCTGGCAAATCCCTGTCTCTATTAACAATACAAAAATTATCCAGGTGGGACTATATGCCTATAGTCCCAGCTACTCCGGAGGCTGAGGCAGGAGGATTGCTTGAGCCCAGGAGGTCGAGGCTGCAGTGAGCTGTAATCATACCACTACATTCCAGCCTGGGCTAACAGAGTAAGACCCTGTCTCAAAAAAACCAGAAAGAAACAAAGAGAAGAAAATGCAGGAAAAGAATTATTACTCCCCATGTGCATCAGAGAACTTTACAGGTTTCATAATAAAGAAACAGAAAAATGAGCATAATGGTGAACCATTTCCCAAATATTGTGGTAATATTAGCAAACAATGAAACAGAATCAAAGATAAATTTTGTGATGACCCATGCCATCTGCTGCCTGGCATGGTCTAGCATAAAACTGAAAATTCTGTCACCAAACACCACATGCCTTCAGCCTTTCAACAAAAGCAGCATCCAGTCATTCAAGGTGTTGGGCACAAAATGACTAGTCGGAAATATGCTTGCTTGAGTGTCTATCTCTGACAATCCCACACAGCTTGCAGTAGGAGTAAATGTGTTAGAAACAGTTAAATGAATTTGAGAAGTGTACCATGGGGTGAAAGATGAGTGCAATTGTGTTTTATGATGACTAACTTAGACAGAACTTCTAATGGAGGATATTTCAGAAAGCTGTGAAATAATAACTGAGGGAAAAACCTTGGTGAGACAGCTAAAATTTAAGGGATTATGCTGAGTGAAGATATCAAAGCACATGCATATTCATGTACCAACTGAGAGAAAGGGAAAAAAATCAAGATACAGAAACAGTCAAAAGAAAATATCAAGATGACTCCAGAGGAAAAAATAAGTAAAAGATATAAATCTTTGAAGACAAAAATCATTCTTTTGATCATTCTTTTGACAAGATTAAAGAAACAAAGACAAACAAAAGTAATCCTGAGCAAAGCTCTTTCATCCTCTCAGCAGGTATTTATTGAGTAACTATTTTGTGCCAGTCACCCTACTCTATCCTCCCTAGAAATATTATCCCCAGAAAGCCAAATAGATGTGGTGTCTGTGATCAAAGAACTCATGACTGTATCTAGCCTACAGTATCACAAAGACTTCCATGAGAAAGTGTTATTTAAGCTGGGATGATAAGAGTAAGTAGGAGATAATTAGGTAAAGGTTGAGCTTCAGGAAGAAGGAATCCTATGTTCAAAAACATTCTGAGGCAGGTGAGAAAACTGAGAGTGCAAAAGAGACAGGGTGGGTTGTGAATTGCAAGATTGGAGGCGAGTGCTACAAGGTGTGGCTAGAGACGGGTTGGTGCCAGTTCACACAGGGTCCTGTCAACCCTGTTTAGGATGTTGGTCTTCATCTCAAGAGCAGTGAAGAGCTGTTGAATAGTTTTGAGCAGAGTGGAATCTTGAGAAGATACGTGCTTCCAAAAGGTCATTGTAACTGTAATGTGGCAAAATAATTATTATCATATAAGATTTAGGGGTAGAGGCGCAGGCTGGCAGAATGTACATCAGAACCAGGGAGGGATCAATATAGAGAGGGAAATAAGTGGGGGAAATATAAGAAATATTTCGAAGGTCTAATTGACAGAACTCAAGGATGATTTGAGCCGGGCGCAGTGGGTCACGCCTGTAATCCTAGCACTTTGGGAGGCTGAGGCAGGCGGATCACCTAAGGTCAGGAGGTTGAGACCAGCCTGGCCAACATGTTGAAACCCCATCTCCACTAAAAATAGAAAAATTAGCCAGGCATGGCAGCACATGCCTGTAGTCCCAGCTACTTGGGAGACTCGCTTGAACCCAGGAGACAGAGGTGGCAGTGAGCCAGGATCATACCACTGCACTCCAGCTTAGGGGAGCAAGACTCCGTTTCAAAAAAAAAAAAAAAAGAGGATGAATTGGAGACAGGGAATGAGGGAAACTGAGATGACCAGGATGACCTCTGGTTTTTATGTCCACTGATCATGGGTTCACTGAAATAGAGAATACTGGAAGAGGAACAGTCCAGGGCAAGGACTGGATTCCAAATTTTTTTGGTTGTCTTCAGTGTGTGGTACTTTTGATACAACCACTTGAGAAAACAGAGTAGACGGTCTGATATATGGATATTGAGCCTAGAGGAGAGGTCTAGGCTGGAGCTACAAATGTAGAAGATATTTGTGTTTTGTTTTGTTTTGTTTTGTTTTTTGAGATGGAGTCTTGCTCTGTCGCCAGGCTGGTGTGCAGTGACACGATCTCAGCTCACTGCAACCTCTACCTCCCAGGTTCAAGCGATTATCCTGCCTCAGCCTCCTGAAGAGCTGGGATTACAGTCACATGCCACCGCACCCAGCTAATTTTTGTATTTTTAATAGAGATGGGATTTCACCATGTTGGCCAGGCTGGTCTCAAACTCCTGACCTCGTGATCCACCTGCCTCGGCCTCCCAAAGTGCTGGGATTACAGGCATGAGCCACCGCGCCCGGCCGACATTTGGTTACTTAAAAAAAAAAAAGTAATTAGTGATCTGGGGGTAGACAACATCACCAGAAAGGAACACAGGAAAAAAGAAGGGTAATTTTAAGACCCTTGAGCAACCTCAGTATACCTAATGCTTAGAAGAGCCTGTGCTTAACAGCAAATCCAAGATAGAATCTCCTACATGATAAAAAGAACATCAGCAGGAGGCTGAGGCAGGAGAATCGCTTGAACCCAGGAGGCAGAGGTTGCAGTGAGCCGGTATCGGGCCACTGGTCTCCAGCCTGGTGACAGAAAACAAACAAACAAACAAACAAAAACTGCTGGCCATGAAGTAATGAACCTTCTGTTACTGACAAGCATTTGCAAATTCAGAACAATTAACTCAAAAGAACCACCTCCCCTACCCAAACAAACAAACAAAAGAAATTACTGAATTACTGCTTCAAGATACTAAACTATGTTATCGTTTTTAAACAACAATCCTGATTTAGTCTTGTACCATTGTGTAAAAATTGAAATAGGCCTGGAAATAGGAACTCCATACTTAAGATGGTCTCTTACAAAGCAATGCTGCCACAGAATTGGCTACTGCAAAGTTGTCAGGCTACGTCTTTTATTGCCTCTCCCTCAGGGACAACAGGAAGTGGGAGAGGAATTCTCCCTTAATGCCAGAAAAATCAAGGTACAAGGAAAAAGACCCTCCTCCTCCAACCAGAGCTACAAAGGGAGCTGTTTATTTTCTAGAGGCTGGCGGGGAAGGGAGATGGGCTCATTTGTCACTGCGGCCCGCATTGTTGATAAGCAACTCAGGATGGAAACATTATGGAAAAAGATCACTAAACAGGATTATAAGTCAAATAGGTTTTATCTAGATCAACTGGGACTGAAACCACCAAGTTAAATCCTTCTCCCCGGGAAAAAAAAAGTGTACAAAATTTGCCTTCGCTTAGCGCAAAATTCTCCTGTAAGCTTCTGATCCTCTCTCCAGTTAGTATCTTTGGGCCCAGGACAACTCACGTGTTGCAAAAAGCATAAAATAAGGAAAAGAGAAAGCATTCTTGTTTGTCGATGTTTATGTTGCTGGGGCCCCTGGTCATGTTTTAGGAAGATGCTGGAGCAAGGAAAACGCAGATTCTCGGGAATCACTTCTCACAGAGTTCATTGGGGGCTCAAATGCCACTGAAGCTCAAATCCGTAGAGATGATGTGGCCTTGATTTCAGACAGGTCTTCAGTGCTCCTAAATTAGTGAAAATGGCAGTATTCTTGCATGGGGAGTTTGCTTATTAGATCCAGGCACTTAAGCAGTTAAAAGATAGTGAAACCCCGTCTCTACTAAAAATACAAAAATTAGCCAGGCTTGGTGACGCCTGTAATCCCAGCTACTAGGGAGGCTGAGGTAGGAGAATCTCTTGAACCCAGGAGGCAGAAGTTGCAGTGAGCCAAGATGGCGCCTCTGCACTCCAGCCTGGCAACAGAGCGAGACTCCATAGAAGGAAGGAAGGAAGGGAGGGAGGGAGGAAGGGAAGGAAGGAAAGAAAGAGAGAAAGAAAGAGAGAAAGAAAGAGAGAGAGAGACAGAAAGAAAGAAAGAAAGAAAGAAAGAAAGAAAGAAAGAAAGAAAGAAAGAAAGAAAGAAAGGAGGGAGGGAGGAGGGAAGGGAAGGAAGGAAAGAAAAAGAAAAAAGAGAAAGAAAGAAAGAAAGAAGAAAAGAAAGAGAAAGAAAGAAAGAAAGAAAGAAAGAAAGAAAGAAAGAAAAAAGGAAGGAAGGAAGGGACGGAGGGAGGGAGGGAAGGAAGGAAAGGAAGATTTGTACTTCATGGGTGGACCTAACCATAGAAGCCAAAAGTGTCCCAGGGATGAAGAGAATGAGCTTCTCTCCTGCCTTCCATGGATTACAGGAACTCTGGGAGCTCTCCCTGGTGCTACTAATATCATGACTCTGCCCTCTTTGCTTGATGCTGTCTTTGCTCTTCTAAATGCAAATCTCCTGCTAGAAATCATGACTCAAAGGGACTCCGCTTCCTGTCTCTGGCCAGCTGTGCTGGACTACCACTGCTTCCACCATCACCTCTGTATTAGTTTTTTGTCATACCGCTATAAAGAAATGCTTGACACTGGGTAATTTACAAAGAAAAGAGGTTTAATTGGCTCACAGTTCTGCAGGCTATACAGGAAGCAGGATAATGCCCATTTGCTTGGCTTCAGAAAAGGCCTCAGGAAGCTTATAATGGTGGAAGGCAAAGGGAAAACTAGCACTTCACATGGCTGGAGAAGGAGGAAGAGAGAGAGGTGGGAGGTGCCACACACCTTTAAACAACCAGATCTCATGAGAACTCTATCACAAGAATAGCACCAAACGGATGGTGCTAAATCATTCATGAAGAATCCATTCCCATGATCCAATACCTCCCACCAGGCTTCATCTCCAACACTGGGGATTACAATTGAACATGAGATTTGGGTGGGACACAGATACGAACCATATCAACCTCCATCTCTACTCAATTTGTCCTTGTTCCACCTGGAACAGAGCAGTCTCCTGGGATGCAACTTTGATGATGCTTCTGCCTAGCAGTCCCCTTTAGAACTCTCAAAACTCACTGTAAATCCTTAATAGTCTTACATCAAAAAAATTATAGAACCTGAAGGGGGATTAAAGATTATTTAATAAATATTAATCGTTATTGCCCAGAGTGCAAGGCACTGTCCTAGAATTCTTGTAACCCTTACAGGATCTTTAAGAGGTAGATAGTCCTGTTACTGTCATTCTATGCATCAGGACACTAAAACCCAGAAAGGCTAAGTAGCTTGCTGTTTTTCTGCCTGGATCTCAGTCTAACTACCTTCCTGCTACTCTATATTGTCTGCTTGGGCCTGTGGCTACTACTGGACATGATCACTTGCCCAGCTAGTCCTACAGCATCTGTCAGACTCAGTCTCCTTCTTTGCACCACTATTGCTGGCCTATACTAGTCAATATTTATTTGCCAACCCAAATAGCATAAATGCAGACTTTGGATTTTGATTGACAGAATTTGAATCCTGGCTTTGCTGTTCCATAGCTCTGGCACCTTGTGCATTTTACTGAAATCGCAGTTTATTTATTCATCTTTAAAACAAGAGTACTTATATTTACTTCATCAGGTTGTTTAGAGGCTTAAAAGTGAGAACATATATAATTTGTGTATAATGGCTGCGCAATAAAGAGAGTTACTATTTTTGAACACCTCCCATGTATTAAGCAAGGTACAAGTGTTTATGACCCTCATGCTCTGCATGCCAAGAACAAATTTTTTTTTTTTTTTTTTTTGAGATGAAGTCTAGCTTTGTCATCCAGGCTGGAGTACAGTGGTTCTATCTTGGCTCAGTGCAACCTCTGCCTCCCGGGTTCAAGCGATTCTTCTGCTTCAGCCTCCTGAGTAGCTGGGACTACAGGTGCACGCCTGGCTAATTTTTTGTATTTTTAGTAGACACAGGGTTTTACCATGTTGACCAGGCTGGTCTCGAGTTCCTGACCTCGTGATCTGCCTGCCTCAGCCTCCCAAAGTGCTGGGATTACAGGCATGAGCCACCGCGCCTGGCCTGCCAAGAACAACCTTTTAAAATGGGTTCACATATAAAATGGGGACCAATTTTGCACAGTTTTCTATACAGTCTACACACACACCCTACAAATTATAAAATATTACTTGCATCCCGTTTTAGAAATATATGCTACTGAAGACCATCATTACAAATAGTCTGCTAAAATTTTATATTTTTGCAGTTACTTAATGTTTTTTGGGGGTAACATGTATACCCAACGTTTACTTGTACGTGGTTTCAAATGATGTTCATGTATTAATATTCCCAATTACAAGACAGACCCTGAGCCCCATTTCCCATTCACTTTACACCAAGAGGTCTTCGGGATGACTAAATCTAAGCAATTGATGCCTAATACCAAAATGCCCCAGACCCAGCCAACTGGTGCCAAGGTCATGCGATGAATCAAAGAGCTGCATACGTGACAATGGAAAGAGCTGCTCCGGTGAAGGCCTGTAACAAGTCCCACAGCAAGAACTTCTGGCTTCTGGATCTGAGCTCCTCACAGAGGTTTCTCTGAGGGAGTCTACTGTCTTTTCTAAAAAAATACTGTTTTGATCTGAGCCTCCGTAGCTCATCAGACGTGTTTTTAATAATCTTTCAGCTTTATTTGGGGATTGAGACTGACAGGTTCAGATCTAAAGTCTCTTTTAACTCAAAAGACTAGTCTACCCCTATGTAAATTTATAAATGCAGGTATATGTAGATATGTAGCAAAAGGGATATGCTTGGTGCAGAGACCACTGCCATCCATTAATTCCATTTAATTTTTCTTCCTCTTCAAGCATATAGGTAGACAACATTTCTTAGGCTCTCATGAAGTTAGGGTTTGACCTTATGACCAAATTCTTGCCAGTGGAATTTGAGAAGTGATGAAGATTCAGTCTATAACAAATCCTCTGTATGATTCTTCATGCTATTTCTCTTTCTGCTGACCAGTTTTAAATAATAATGAGGACTTTGGAGATGACAGAGCCACATAGTAAAAGGAGCCTGGGTCCCTGAATGACCATGTGGAGAAGAGCTGCCCTGTTGCCCTGAATACATATCCAGGCCTGACAAACTCATATGTTGTTCGGCTGTAACATGCCTGTCTCTGCTGGTCACCATAAATGTTCTACCCTCACTAATATACTGCTCAGTTCCTCTTGGAAGTACCCAAGCTCTAAATGCAACAGGCATGTTAGGGGAGAAGTGATGTACCTCGATCATGTATAGCATCTAGGTCTCAGGCTCTGAGTCCAGCCAAAATACCCTGTTTAAATATTTGGTTCAGACTCAGGTTTATCATTCCTTCATGACAGATAAGAAAATATAAGAATTGCCTAAAATCACACATCTTGTAAAGAGCAAAACTACCATTTGCACCTCAGTTTTAGACTTAGTCCAAAGCATCTTCCACCATCTTTCACCAAAGGTACATTAAGAGCTTCCATTCAAAGATCATTAACTACTAACGCTACTTTACCATTGAACAATGGCCTCTAGAAATTTATTTCTTTTCTCATATGCATACTTCTAAATTCATTTGAAGTAAGTTTGTTTGTTTGTTTATTTGTTTGTTTTTACCAATTTGGCAGATAGGAATATTAAGGGGAAAAGAGTTTAAAGAACTACAGAGAACACAAGTTTTTAAAATGTGAATTTCAGAACAATTTTCTGAACTTCTTCTAAAAATGTGATCCCTTACAAGCAAACCTACTTGTTAATAATGAATGAATGAGTATGGGCTTATCGCTTTTTCTCAGTGTCTTAATAGGATTTTATAATACAGATGCTTCAATAGCTTTAATTATAGCTATTTTTAAAGTCTCAATAGTTAGAGTCTTCATGTAGATGCAACTCTGATTTTTAAAAAATATATATATTTTTTTCTTCCAAGTGTCTATATTCTGTGTAAGCCTTTGGGGGTTTAATTTCAGAAGCATCTCATAGGTTGTAAAGACAAGAATTTGTAAGATTTAAGTCAATAATAGAAACATTGCTGTACAAATTTTAAAGCAGAATGTTGCAATAAATACAAAAAGATACCGAATGCTCTAAGGGAAGTCAGATCCTGCAAGCTGGCAGCATCAATCACAATTCCGTTGAAGACTTGACACAGCAATTAATGACATATCTGGCATGTACAGGTTCTTCTAATCATGTCTTGGACTACATACCAAAATAATACCAGGCAAAGACTTTCAGTAAATTACTTTCATTTACTCTGTGCAACTGAGTAGAAATTCTTTTCTCTGAGTACTCTGGACAAATTACTTCTGCCACACGTGTATTTTTGACTTGGACAACAAAGAACATAGAAATGGTAGTGATCACTCACACAACACAATGACTAAATCATATGATGATCAGTTACAATGCCCAGTTGAGGAGCCACAGTTTACATCCTTTTTGGAATAATATTTCTGCCAGGGTTGGAAAAACCGCCTTTTTTTCTATTAAATCAAATGGCCCTCCAGTGACTATAACATTCATGGAAAGAAGGGTTGACTACATAGACAACATCTTCCTTCCTCTCACGCCAATGCCCAACCAGTCTGGAACAATAAGCATGACCACAATATTAAACTGCATGTTTCTTCTCATTCCAAGAGATTTGTCTAATATTTGAAATTAACAATGTCCTATATCATTTTAACTATAGCTAGGCTGCCATACGAGTTTTTGCATTAATGTGCCTATTTCTAGGCACTGTGTTAAATATGACTCATTTTAATGTTATATCACTATGTTGCTCTCATATTAGATTCTACCTAGGTCTTTAAATTCATGTTAGATTCTGTCCTAGGTCTTTAAATGTTGAACAGGGTGTACAGACAAATGGCATATTAATAGGAGTCAGTTATGCTCATGAATTGTTAATTATTTTGTTGTTTTAAATGTTCGTGAAATAAGAACATAAAATTAGGTCTTTCCACACACACATGCATGCACCCACACACACTCACACACATACTATGGTGCCTATATAGATGTGAGAGAAAGGGAAAGAAGAGAGACAAGAGAGAGATTAAGTTTCCGTAGTCCAGCAAGTTTTATTCAAAGATATACAATCACTAAAGCAAGACAAGTCTTCTTTTGCTGAGGGTAAAACTCATTAAAGTTTATAGGTTTATAGTTGTAATTCAATTTTAGAAGGATAGATTACATAATTTTTGAAAAATTAGAAGAAATTAATAGAAAAACAAAACAGGTATGTAGAAGAAAAAATTATGTAAAGTTCAGTCTAAAATTTGCTATTAGTTCTTTGAACCAATATTCATACTTTAGAGTAGATACACTGCTTTGTGCGTAAGGTTCCCTCACGAATATTTAAATATAGCTTATGTATAATTATTGCACTTGCAAAGAAAGTAGCTGTATGTGCTTTCCTCAAAATTATCTGGCTGCGTTATAGGTAATTTTGAAAGCAACTTTATCTCCATCAAAAGAAAAGAACACAATGGCCTGGACCAACTGCTCATAAATGTCAGATACACTTGTGTATGCTAAGATTAGCATGTCCGTTAGGTCATGAGGGCATGGTCATTTCAGTTCAAAATTCCCCAAATTCATTTACCTTTTATTTGTCATCTCTTATGACATTTGAAGCTCCATTTGTGTGCTTTTCTTAGAATGTCTTATCTAATTGTTTCTGTAATTCAGAGTTGCATTCTACATCTTATGATGAAAAAGGAAAGCATTTGCATTTGCTATCCATGTTTCCAAGAGCTTATTTCCAAATGATATTTTCTTAAGTGGAGTTTGACGGTTTTCTGTAATGCAATTCAAAAGTGCCTCTCCTGAAAGGGACAGGTTCCTAAAGCAATGAATCAATGTATATTAGATATAGAAGGAAGAAAATAAAAAGCCAAACTTCTTCTACTGGTATCCCACTATCCAGCCACAATATAGCTGCCTTTTTTTTTTTTCTATCCTGACAGGGATTCACAGATGTCTTTTTAACATCCATAAAACAGAAATGCTCAATATGAAAACAAAGGAACATGTATATTGCCAGTAATAATTCGGTAATCTACAACTCCTTCCATTAACACTGTTGTTTTTATCCGTTTCCACATACAAACTTCTTTCTGCTTATAAATCAGGAGACTAAAGGGGAATAAATACATACGTATCATAGTGATCTAACACCCATCCCAAGCAAGCCTCATCCTGTGTCACTGTCTAAGTCATGCAAATTACACCAGAGCTGCCAGTTGACTAAGATTAATGACACTGCGCCAGCTTCTTTGTTTCTCTCTGCGGCCGTTTAGTGTGAAATACTATCCAAAAACATTATCTATCCTCGATTAATCCCACAAATTTGTTCACACGATGCACATTGTTTAGGGCAATTTACAACAGGAACATACTGAGCACAATTGCATTTAATTACTTGGGTTCTAATTACATTCATTAAAGGCTAATAAAATAAATGAAACAGCTTTAAAAGCTTCTGCAAAACACATGGGTCTTGTCTCCCTAGTGAAACATACAGTAGATGTTTGATGTGAAACACAGATTTGACCATATATGTGTGTTTATAGATGAATATATATACATATTCCATATGTTCTATAAGGTAGATTTTAAATCATAAGCAATAAAACCTCAAATGTTCTACCAATGCATTTATTTAGTGAGTGGGTGAAAGATTTTAGGAACCTAGCACTACTTTTTATGTGGAGAATAAAGAGAAAAGCAAATCCGTTTTCAAAATCGCTTTTGAATCTTAATTGTTTCCACCTGCACAGCCCGGATGCCCAACCTTCTCTTTTCCATGTCCACATTATAAAGGCCACTGACCAACAGAAGGGGGATGCATTCCACTTAAGCTAGGTTCTGGAGAATATTCCCATCAGCTTCAATCCCAAAACTCAGTCAGGACTTTTGGCTTACTCACTTCTAACCCTGTGGTAGCTTGTTGAAAAGCTAAATAACCTATTGTATAAAATTCACATTTTAAGACACCCTGGCATGTGAAGGTTTAAAAAAAAATGAAGTTGTTAGATTTTGCTAATATTTGCATATGTATTAAATGCTTAGTGTGCTTGGAAGACCATTTAAGAAACACAAAATGTAAAATAGCATTGTTGACAACTATGCCAGAAATAACCAGTGATGGATACTCAAAATAAGCTTTAATTTCACCATATTTTTTCACTCAGATAGAGCTCTGTATAATCTGTATTATCCAAAAACAAATGTCTACCTAACTAATTGTCTTATGTACTTTTGAGGTCCATGCTTTACTTTGTAAAGTCCATGGGTAATTTTATCTGGTAAAGCCAGAAAATGGAGCTGCAACACCTAAATCTAAATGCATGTGATTGGCATATCTCTTCACAAACAGAATTTTGCTCCCAGAGTAGATTTTGAGCATAATCTGAAAAAATAACAAGCAATTCGTGAATGATTTTGATAGGTGCCTGGATTTAGAATTTCAGCTAGATTCAGATCTTTGCCAAAGAATAAAGATTTTTTAAAAAATCTTACATAAATGCATTGGAAATAGCCTATTATTGTCTTTTCTTATACGGACATTCTTTGGCCGAGCATGTCCTCTTCTAGGAATCTGTCTTAAGGAGATATTCTCACATATGCACGAATGGAGTTAGGAAGATGGTTATTACAGCATTGTTTTTAGTAGTGAAAAAACTGGAAACATCCTAAATGCCTGTCAACAAAGGAATGGTTAATAAGCTATACAAATTCATATTCTGTAGATCTATATAACAACTAAAAGAATAAGGTAAATCTATATGTACAAGTGGAATGTTCTCAAAAAGCAAGTTGTGGAACAATATATATTATATGAATCAACAAGGTAAAACAGTATGTAAGGGTGAGTGTGAGTGTGTGTAAATGCATGGGAAAAGTCCCAAAGAATTGGAAATCTGATAGCAGTGATAACCTCTAAGACAGTAGACAAGAAAAGACAAGGGTGAGAAGCGAGTCCTCAGGGCAGGAAAGGACTTTCACTTGTTACTCTATAGACTGCAGTATCAAGTGGACATTCATAAGAAAAAAAGTATTTAAGTATTATATGTAACATTTTGAAATTAATGTGCAACCTAGAGCCATAATGTGTGCATTTAACACTCCCCCACATAAACATACACACAATAATTTCCCAAATATTTTCATCTGATTGCTCTTCAGAACATAATCTGGAAGAGGGTTTCTCAGAAAGTTATAAAAAGGGATGGAATTTTACAGTCTAGAAGTTTTCTCACTTAGACACTCTCTCTGTCTGCTTCTACTTCACTATTTTCAGTTCCTTTTATTATGCCTAAGTGCTGGCAATTTGGGGGAATTCCATTCTCATAACGCAGCTGCTGGGGGCATTAAGCGTCTGCATGGAATCCCTCTAACGGGAACACCGACTTGCTTCGGTGCCACTCGCCCTTAGAATCTTCAGTTCAGAGTCATGTCCAACATGGTTGAAGATTACCTCTCTGAAGTGCAAGGATTCAGGTTTAGTGCAAAGTAAACACTACTGTTGACTTTTAGAAAAGTTTTAATATAATGATGCTTTGCTATCATTCACTCATTAATGTGAATGTTTTAACAATTCCAGCACTATTCTATAAAACTCACAACCATAATAGCTTAGAAAAAGACTTAGCACAGAAAAAAAGATGAGTAAAATGAGAAACAAAGCAAGAACTATAAAGCCTTGGAAGTTTATTTTCTGATGCAAGCTTGCTTTTCTCTTCACCATTTCTTGAGCACTACAAGATTCCCAGCACTTACTTGCAACATTAAAGAAATCTAGGCCGGGCACAGTGGCTCACGCCTGTAATCTCAGCACTTTGGGAGGCTGAGGTGGGTGGATCACAAGGTCAGGAGTTCAAGACCAGCCTGGCCAATTTTTAGTAAGACCCCGTCTCTACTAAAAATACAAAAATTGCTGGGTGTGGTGGTGCACGCCTGTAGTCCCAGTTACTTGGGAGGCTGAGACAGGAGAATTGCTTGAACCCAGGAGGCGGAGTTTGCAGTAAGCCAAGATTGTGCCACTGCACTCCAGCCTGGGCAACAGAGGGAGACTCCATCTCAAAAAAAAAGAAGAAAGAAATCTAAAAAAAACAGAGATCTAAAAGTGGGTTGGGCACAGTGGCTCACGCCTGTAATTCTAGCACTTTGGGAGGCCGAGGTGGGCAGATCACCTGAAGCCAGGAGTACAAGACCAGCCTGGCCAACATGGTGAAACCCTGTCTCTGCTAAAAATACAACAGGTGGTAGCAGGCGCCTGTAATTCCTGCTACTTTGGAGGCTGAGGCAGGAGAATCGCTTGAACTTGGGAGGCAGAGGTTGCAGTGAGCCAAGATCATCCCACTGCACTCCAGCCTGGGTGACACAGGGAGACTCCATCTCAGAAGAAAATAAAAAGAAATCTAAAAGTGGAGACCCTCCATTTCATCATATATCGTCTCTGATAATGCCAACAAAATGCAGTCCAAATCCTAGGGTCTTGCATTCAGGGTTCTTCAGTTATGGGGTTTTGTGTCTTGCCACTTTATTTTATGTGCCATACATACCATGTGGATTTAGCCATGTCTGGCTAATGGTCTCTCCTCCTACAATTTCTTTGTTTCTCTCTGTTACTCTTCACCTGTTAGGATCTCTCAGGGTCTATCTTAAATATCATTTCCTCTGGCAATTTTCCCTAGTATCCTGAGTGATGCCTTTTCTGTTGAGAGTGATCTTTGCCATCACTGTACCTCCATTGCAGCTTATGCGTTTCTCTGGCATTTGCCACAAGTGCTCCCTTATTATAGAAGTTGACGTCTATCTCATATCCTGCTAATAGAATGTAAGCTCCTTAAAGGTTTGAACTGATGCCACTGTGCCCGTAAGACTAAGTAGAGTGCTCATCATATAGCAAGAGAATTTTTTTTTTTTTTTTTTTTTTAGATGGAGTCTCACTCTGTCATCCAGGCTGGAGTAAAGTGGCACGATCTCGGCTTACTGCAACCTCTGCCTCCCAGGTTCAAGCAATTGTCCTGCCTCAGCCTCCCAAGTAGTGGGACTACAGGCATGTGTCATCATGCCCAGCTAATTTTTGTATTTTTAGTAGAGACGGGGTTTCAGTATGTTGGTCAAGCTAGTCTCAAACTCCTGACCTCAAGTGATCTGCCCGCCTCGGCCTCCCAAAGTGCTGGGATTACAGGCATGAGCCACCATGCCCGGCCAAGAAAATTTTTTTAAACCTAATAGTCAAACAAAGGAAAATAGTTTCTAAATTGTTTAAATAATTATTAAACTCTTTTTATTAATATGTAGTTGTCAGTAGACAGAGCATCTCCAATGTCAAACAGAGTACCTGGCATATAATTGGTGCTCAATAAATATTTGTTGAATGCCTTTGAATAAGTAAATGAACAAATAAACACAGAAACAAATAAATAATGTGATTTTTTTCTTTCTTCCTTTTTCCCATTTGTCCATCCCAGTGGGGAAACATTTATTACAGTATCTCATGAATAATGTCAAAAACCTCAAGTACAGTAGTCTTCAGTATTACAGTCTAAAACCATAATAACAGCTTTATACAGAGCCTATAATTCAACACATATATAGTTTCTATTAAGATTTTCAGGACTGACTTTTAACATACTGACAGTTTAAATTGGTTCTCTTCTACAATAAAGGCTATAGAATAATTACAAATACGTTTAAGGAGTCCTGAATTAGTAATACGATATCCTTAGAATCCTGTCTTTATGCATACCTGCAGAGATTTAAAGATAGGGTGCATTTAATGCATGAACATCCTGAAAGGTGACAGGCAGAAGATACGCCTTAAATTAGGAGAACAGGGGCTGTGGTAATTCTTTAGTCAGTAAGAAACTCCCCTTACTTTGACACTTCTGGGCAGAAGACCACAACTTCTTCCAAATGGCCAAGTGAGAGCATGTATTGTGAACACTCAGATGCATTTCTTTTTATGACTTTCGAGAGCTTCTCCTCCCCTTTACTAACAAGGATGCACAATGTGGCAGGAAAAGACAAATACAAACAATATCAATACACTTTCATGGAATTCCGAGAGTTCTTTCCTTTTCTTCTTCCTTTTTTTTTTTTTACCCACCTCTTGGAAACTAAGAGGAGCTGTTCCACGTAAGCACCAGAGAAATGAAATATATAACTACAAACTGAAAGCCCGTGACCTCAATCCTCAGCCGCCCCTTGCCCCTCATTACCGCAGCAGTTGGTGTAGGGAAGGATTAAAGAGGGCTAGAAATCACTGGGCGAGCATACAAGGGCTCAGAAATTTGACCTTCGTTACTTAAAGCACACAGTCTTCACTAAAAGCTGGTATATGAGGAGAATTAAAAACAGAACCAAGAAAGGTCAGGTGGAGTGCAGATACACTAACAAAGATGAGGGTGAAATGGAAAAAAAAAAATCCCTCAAAATATTCATCTTTTCTTCTATTGGACAAAAGTGGACATTTCTAGGAGACATTTTGGCTTCTGCCACTAACCAAAAATGCAAAAGAGCCTCCATGCCAAAAGTAAGAGCATAAAATGTCAAATTGCCAGAGCCAGAGAGAACTTTAGAAGCAACTCCCCATGCAAGAGACTTTCTTAGGGCACTTTCTAATGAAATGGAATCAGATTCTGCCTCTTTCTGTATCTGATAGATTTTATTATCTGGATCTATGAATTACTCAGTTTAATGGGAAATACAAGAAGAGATTACAAAAGCACTGACTAGTAAAATATCTTTACAATTGTGAAACTGGCAACAAAGCTCTGTCTTTTTTGGGAAGGCAAAGTAAGGGGCAAGGGGCTCATGCCGTAAAGCATATGACCATGGCAACTGCCGCAATGGGGGCGTAAACTCAAAACCATTTCAAAAAACATACACTAAGAAGTGAATGATTCCCATCTGTCAGCAACAATGGGGCCACATTATTCATTGTTCTGACAGTCCTGTGTTCCGTGGGTGTTGGGAGCAGACCTTCTCTCTCAGAGACTCCTGCACATAGATGAGGAAACTGAGGCATTTAATTGAACTCAGCCTAATGACTTACCCTAAAGAGGTAAGCAGCCTGAGATCAGTAAATATTTAATGTGTTCTGAAAAGAAAATCTATTAGCCAAGTATTTTCATTCTTAAGAACAACAACGATTATAAAGATATGTTAGATTTCCATAATGGTCTGCACTTTCCAAAATAGTTTCATAAATTTTCAATGAAGCAAATAAATGAGTTAAATACTTACACAGAAAGATGGTAAGAGGTGTGAGTGAGGGGAATATGTACCCCAATCTCTTTTTTCTGTTTAAATAGTAAATCTTTTTTGGAACACTGCTGTCCAACAGAAGTATTATGATACACTTACATAATTTTAAATTTTCTGGCAGCCATAGTAAAAAAAGCAAAAGCAAACAGGTGAAATTCATTTTAATAATATATTTTATGTAACCCACTGTATCAAAAATGTTTTAAAATGCAACTAATATGAAAATTATTGTGATTTTTACAGCTTTTTGTACTAAGTCTTTGAAGTCTATGTGCAATTTATACTCACAGCACATCTCCGTTAGGACTAGCCACCTGTCACAAGCTCAATAGCCATGTGTGCCTAGTGGCAACTATTTTGAATAGCACAGCTCTGAGGTTCTGTTTTTCCCCTAATTTGGATGTTATCCTGCCCTGGTTTTTCTATTAGCTACTATAGACTTCAGATATCAAAAATTAGTTGATTTGATTTAGTTTCATATTTACCAAGGGCATTTAACAGAGCATGTAGAAGAAATCAACATATTCTCTCAAGTCCTAAGGATGAATATGTATGTGTGCATTTATGGTTATAGTAGTTTATATGTGTGTGACAAGCATTAATTCTGGGCCTACTCCATGTAAAAGCAATAAGCATTAATACTGTACAATATCCACAAACATTAATAGTGTGTCTATTCCACACAGTAGTATCAACAAGTATTAATAGCTTGCCTATTCCATGCAAAGCATTGTGCCAAGCACCAGATTCAATATCAAGACATCATTTTGGCCAAAGTATTTATTAAATCACTATAATACATGGGACTGCCACGCTTCTTTCACCAGCAAACCTCAGGTCCATTGTAAACTTTTCAACAGCTCTGAGTGTGGTAGGGTTCAACATTAAACAAGGACAATGAAGCCCTACTTCAAGTCTTGTCTCTGTCCTTTATAAGCACTATGACTTTGTGCTGGGCGCGGTGGCTCACGCCTGTAATCCCAGCACTTTGGGAGGCCGAGGCGGGCAGATCACGAGGTCAGGAGATCAAGACCACTCTGGCTAAGACGGTGAAACCCCGTCTCTACTAAAAATACAAAAAATCAGGCGGGCATGGTGGTGGGTGCCTGTAGTCCCAGCTACTCGGGAGGCTGAGGCAGGAGAATGGCGTGAACCCGGGAGGCGGAGCTTGCAGTGAGCGGAGATCGTGCCACTGCACTCCAGCCTGGGCGACAGAGCCAGACTCCGTCGCAAAAAAAAAAAAAAAAAAAAAAAAAACCACTATGACTTTGTGTCATTTCTCCACCCGAATTTTTAGTTCACTCATTGGTAAAATGACGACTACATGACCTCTAAGTAACTTTTCAGTTCTAACAGACTATTATTACTTGGTAATAAAAGTGTACCTCCTTTTAGCCTTAAGGAGCATACGCCTTACTCTTCAGCAGTGTCTACACAGTGTGATCTATGGAATACTAATAGGGTTGCCAGATTTAGAAGGAAAAAAACACACAATGTCCAGTGAAACTTAAATTTCAGGTAAACAAAAAAATAATAAAGCGTTAAGTATGTCCCATGCAATATTTGGTACACGCTTAACTAAAAAAAACTGTTGTCTCCCTGAAATTCCAACTTAACTGGCATTCTGCATTTTATCTGGTGACTGATTCTAGGTACTCAGAAAGTCTCATGCCACTCACCTCACAATCAGAGCTTGACATTTTCATGCTGTAGCACAGTAGAATGAAATAGGCACAAATTTTTGTCAGACCCCATGGCTATGAAACCTGGCTCAGCACTTTTCATTGTGTGTGACCTAAGTTTCTGAGCCTCTGTTTCCTCCTTTGTAATGCTGAAACTGATCTATAAAGTATAATAAATACTTCTCCTCATTCTATAAAGGAGAAAACTGATGGTCTGGGAGGTTGGGCTTGTCACTCTACATTCAATTAGTAGAGTTGATGTTTCCCTGTGAAAGGATAAGCGTTAGATAAAATAACGTATGAGCCAGGTGCATTATTTTTGTTTTGTTTTGTTTTGTTTTGCTGAGATGGAATCTTGCTCTGTCACCCAGGCTGGAGTACAGTGGCACAATCTCGGCTCACTGCAACCTCTACCTCCTGGGTTCAAGCGATTCTTCTGCCTCAGCCTCCCAAGTAGCTAGGAATACAGGCGCACGCCACCACACCCAGCTGATTTTTGTATTTTTAGTAGAGATGGGGTTTCACCATGTTGGCCAGGCTGGACTCGAACTCCAGACCTTGTGATCTGCCTGCCTCGGCCTCCCAAAGTGCTGGGATTACAGGAGTGAGCCATCGTGCCCAGCTGAGCCGGGTACATCTTAAGCATTCAATAAACAGCATATATTACAGCTGTTATTGAGACTGTAGGAGTTGTGGGTGGGGTAGGTGGAAAGGGAAAATGTTGAATTAGAGTTCTCTTTTGGAAAGGACATACATGAGTGAGACTTGATAACAGTCTTGAGCAGCTGAGAGAGAGGTGATGGGTCAGAGGTAGGTAGGAGAGAGGCATAGGATTGAGATAAGCGGGCACACAAACCTTTACTGCTTCACTTTCTAAATCATTCACTAAGCATGCACATGGCTCTACAGTTCCAGAGTGCCTCTGTATTTCCAAACCCAGTTTCAAGCCGGAAATGAATTTTACTCTCTCCCTCCTTTCCTCCCCCTGACACTCCAATTCATGCTCATATTACTAGATAAGGCAATCTGAATTGACATTTTCTCTCATTAGGTAAGGGGTAGATACGATACCCAGGATGAATCTCCTTTCTCATTTCCCTATTTCTACATAGTACCTGCAAAATGCAATTGCAATGTACAAGAGTAACACTGTTGGGAAAAGGAAGCCTCCAGAGAAACCTGGGGTTTTGAATGGAAGTGAAAAAGGGTCCATCTTTGCCTTTATAGAATTATGAAAGAATTATGAATTGAAATATGAAATTAAAAACACCACGTCTTAGGTTTCTTTACAGCACCACTGGTGGAGCCAACGCTTTCTCCCATTAGTGATTGTCATTAATATGGCATGTTATCGCCAAAGCTTGGAGGCCAGAAAGCTCTTCCCAGTTTTGCTATAGCCTTGAGGAGGCTCTGTCCCTTCCAATTGAGACTGATTAAAAATACAAAAAAAAAATCTTTCCCCACAATCCTTTCTAGATGTTGTTTAAATGACAGTGGCTTACTTTCTTCAAACTTTGCTATCTGTTTCTTTTTTATTTTTTCTCCCTATGCATCTGTCATCAGTTTTTTTCTTCATCATTCTGATCCCCACCTCCTGCATGAAGCTTTCTTTGTCCACCCCACCTAGACTTAGTTATGTTATCTTTCTTTCTCTTATGGTTCAGTTACATTTATATTGTCTTGTGTAGTGTGTGTGTGTGTGTGTGTGTGTGTGTGTGTGTCCAATTGGAATGCAAACACTTTGAGGACAGAAGCAAGGTTTTACAGTTCCATCTCCTCACACTGAATGACAATACATTTTATGTTTCAATATACATTACTTTTGAGGTGAAAGTAATATAATCCTTCAGATACTTAAATAATTCATGATTTTGTCTCATTAACGCTTATCTAACCTGTTGAAACAGTAAAAAATGTCAAATTTGTATAACTCTGTCTATGGAGCATACTGAGACTTTAGGGGGTGACGGGCAAAAAGGAGAAAGCAGGAGCAGATTGATACAAAGCTAGAAAGCTGACCCAGCATAAGAGCTGGCCACTATTACATTATTATTTTATGGTAGTACAAATTACTATCTGTATTCGTAGGAGTTCCTCTGTCTGTGAGGACTACTACGAGAGTCCTTTGTGATCTCAAACTTAGTGTGCAACAGTGTCACCATTTTGGGTTTCAGTCCATTTGAGGATCAGGACTCTATTTGGGAATTAGAGGTACCTGTGAAGAGTTCTAACCCCTGGGAACATTGGCAGACAAGAGATAGGCAAGGCGTCTGCCAGTGGTCTGGAATCTAGGGCAGAAAGCCAGTGCCTACAGGATCTTGGAATGCTTATCTGAAAACCCAAGGATATGCCTATTTGCACTCACTGGATTTGCATAGAAAGATGAAGGGAAACTTACATCTTAGGGGATATGTGAGTACCAGAACTAACATTAGACAGTAGGTCTTAGAGATCTTGTAGAAGCAAGACTAATTTTAGATCCCACCCCCTGATGAGGCAAAAATCTCCTAATGTTCTTCCCAGTGCCAAGATTTGAGCCCAAGGATATAGCAGGACTGAGACTGCAGATGAAGGGCCTTAGCACTTACATGTATCTTTAGGCCCAACAGTGAGAAAGGTAAAGACTGATAATTTATCTCATGAGTAGCTTCACAGATTAATATGATCAGTAGTTAGACAGCTATATATATATATATATATATATATGTGTGTGTGTGTGTGTGTGTGTGTGTGTGTGTGTGTGTGTGTGCGCCAAATCGTCTCAGTATGGTTATGTGCCCTATTTTTTAAAAAGTCAATTTTTTTTTTCAGATGGAGTTTTACTCTTGTTGCCCAGGCTGGAGTGCAATGGCACAATCTCGGCTCACTGCAACCTCCGCCTCCCGGGTTCAAGTGATTCTCCTGCCTCAGCCTCCCAAGTAGCTGCGAATACAGGCATGCACTACCACGCCCAGCTAATTTTGTATTTTTATTAGAGATGGGGTTTCTCCATGTTGGTCAGGCTGGTCTTGAACTCCTGACCTCAGGTGATCCTCCCACCTTGACCTACCAAAGTGCTGGGACTACAGGCGTGAGCCACTGAACCTGGTGTAAAAAGTCAAATTTTTAAATATTGTTTTAATATTAAGAAATATATACACACACAAAAAAAAGAACCACATTTCTCCAAACTGTAGTTTGAAAAGCAGGTCTAATGAAAGTCCAGAGTGGGTGCTTTGCATGGGTTTAGAGAAAGATAATATTGTTTCTTCTTTTTATGTATGATGCTATAATACAGTCTGCATTAGAAATACGGTGAGTCTTAAGTAGGGCTTACCTACCTAATACCTCTAATACCACCACTTTTTTGCACCAATCAGTCATTTTCTTTTATCTTTTTCTGTTGAGACGATATGTCACTCTGTCGCCCAGGCTGGAGTACAGTGGCATGATCTTGGCTCACTGCAACCTCTGCCTCCAGGGTTTAAGCGATCCTCCCAACTCAGCCTACTGAGTAGCTGGGATTACAGGCGCACGACCCCACACCCGGCTGATTTTTGTATTTTTAGAAGAAATGGGGTTTCACTATGTTGGCCAGTCTAGTCTTGAACTCCTGACCTCAAGTGATTCACCTGCCACAGCCTCCCAAAGTGCTGGGATTACAGGTGTGAGCCATGGCGACCTCATTTTAAATATTAAGGCCTGGTGTCTCAATATCTTATTAAAACACTAGAAACCTCAATATTCTGAAGTTGTTGTTGTAATATATGATTGTAAAAATCTTAAATTTGTAACACATAAACTGAAAATAGAGGGGGAGATAGTACACATTTTCTTTAAAAAACATAGAACAAAAGGCAAACAACCCTAATTCTTTTCTGTTTATTTAATTTATCATTGTCTTCATCTGTTCATGCATGCTATATGTTAACGTAGGACTTTTCCAACATTTTGAGTTCCATTAATCTAAAATATAAAGCCCTATACCTGTGATATATTACTAATGCTAATAGATAAGATCACCCAATTATAAACTTCAGTTTACTCTTATTAATGTAGCAAATGAAGTCATGGAAGTGAGTGAGATCTCATTTTGGATAAGGTTCCATTTCTTGTTAAATGTTGTTATTTCAGAGTTGGGCATATATCATCATTGATATAACAATAACAGATGTCTTATTTGTGGATTCATCTCCTGTCTGCCTCACAGCAATGATTTTACTACTTGTGAAGGATTACAAAAAATTACTGGAGGATTTACAAGAGGTCCCTGCTGTATTTATCTAGAAGCCAACTATAATATTGTTTTTCCATACCCATCAACAAACACAACTTAATCTTGACTCAAAAGAGCTGCATTACTCTTTCCTTAGCATGTGTGATTACAGCTTCAGAATGCTTTTAATCAATAAAAGTTGGATTAGTTGCAATAGCAGATGTTAGATGAGGGTATGAGGAAGATGCCATCCTCCTATTCTTCTGGAAACATCAAAAATTATCTTTTGCAAGAGGAGCTAGCACAGAGTTCTGCAGTGTATACCTACTGAGCCTGTGCCTTTTAAAGTTGTGGCTATACTTCTCATTGCAGCACTTCTCAAAGGATCTGGAACTTGCTTTTTTTCTGGTTAAATTGAAGTTTTCATTGTTGTTTCTTATGAATTGGTTGAGGAGAAAGGCAACAGATATTTTGGAATTCTCAGCACATTCCAATCACTTCTGCTGTTAATCGACTACTTAAACCAGTGAAATGACCCTTTAAACATCATGGTCCTGGGCAGAGTCACCAGGGCTGTGTCCTCAAATACTAGCAGCAGCAGCAAAGCTCTACAGCTTCTTCCAGAAATGAGAGGCACGTCCCATGTCAAGTACATGATCAAGGGGCTGTGAGTAATTCTTAGCAAACCATTTATGGGCATTCTTAATACTTTAGGAATATTCATAAGACTTCATTTAACATTCACAAAAACATATTAGAGCAATAAACTGGCATTGTCTTCTTAGAGGGTGGACACAGACATGGTGACTTTTTCTACAAGTTGGACAATGGGAACCTGTGTTATATCTAATGTACTCTACGTTGTTTTCAACAGCGTATTGGGAGCTAGTCAAGTCCACTTGGGAGCTAGTCAAGTCCACTTGAGATCTTGGATGTAGAGACAATTTCACATAAAGAAATGGTAACTCAATGGTGGAAGAGCTGAAGCAATTCAGCAATTAGCAACAGCAGGAAGCTCTGCCACATCCAAGTGACAAGGAGATGAGGTGTTGTTCCCAGAGCTCAGAAGCCAGGCTATCTAGAGCCAGCCAAAACCCCAGCAGACGATCACCTGATGGGAGTTGGGACCATGAAGGAGCTAGAGCCACAGACAGAAGGTAGCCACTGCCCCAGAGGCAGCTTGCTGAGACTCTCAGTTTGTGGGCAGGTTGCACTGCCCCCAAGCCCACCTTGACAACCGTGCCATTGGCTCAGACTCCAGTTCCATCCACATTATCTCAGCAAAGCTCCTTCTGTACTAATCAAACGAACTATCTTACAGAAACTAAACTAAACACTAATCAAAGTGTTATCAGCATTTATACCCTAATATTACTGTGTGTTATTAATATCTACTATGGCAGTGTCCAGCCATACTGAGGAGACTTCCATGGAGTTCTAACAGCTCAGATACCAAATATTGTTTTTATTGGGGCTCTGATTACAAATTGTATGAGATTTTGAGTGGTCTGCCCATGAGCTGTTTCTTTTTTCTTCTTTTTTAGTGACAGGGTCTCACCCTGTTGCCAAGGTTGAAGTGTAGTGGCAAGATCATAGCTCACTGCGGACTTGAACCTCTGGGATCAATGATTTTCCCACCTCAGCCTCAAGAGTAGCTAGGACTACAGGTGCAGTCACCACACCCAGCTAATTTTTTTTTCTTTTTGTAGAGATGGGGTCTCACTGTGTTGCCTAGGCTGAGCTCTTCTTCATTGTTTGTGTTAGCTTTGTCTTGTTTTTGCAGAACACTGAAATTTTCAGGAAAGAATATATCATGTTAATAATAGAAGCACTCATAAGTAAAAACATGATTTCATGTGGTTACAAAGCACTATAATATGGGGAGAAGATCAATATAGATCATTCATTCATGCAACATTTATTAAATGTTCTTGTACTTGGCAAATTCAAACATGAATCAGATATTAGGAGTGCCCTCTCTCCAAAGAGTTTACAACCGGACTTGTTTTGTTTTGTTTTGTTTTTGAGACAGGGTCTCATTCTGTCATCCAGGCTGGAGTGCAATCGGGTGACCATAGCTCACTGCATCCTCAAACTGTCAGGTTTAGCAATCCTCCTGCCTCAGTCTCCTGTGCTGGGACTTTGACGCATGCCACCACACCCAGCTAATTTTTTTAAAAATTTCTAGTAGAGCTGAGGTCTTGTTATGTTACCCAGACTGGGGAAACTGTTGTTAACAGGTAATTAGAAAGAAAGCAGTAAATGTTATAATAGAGGTGTTATCAGCATGATGAGAAAGTCTAGAGCAGGGTAAGAATAATTTTGCCTGTAGGTGTCAGGAAAGACTTGAAGAGGAAGTGATATTATGATGTTTAAAAGGTAAGAGTTTGCCAAATAGTGAAGGAGAAAAGAAGCATCCCCAGGCAGTGGGAGAGCATGTGTGAAGGCCTTAATGAAGATAATTAACTACTATAAGAGTTTGATCTGGGTGTTTAAGAATGGAGTCGGAGAGGGGCATCCTCACAGAAAGCAACAAGAGCTGTAACTGGAGAAGTAAATTGATGCCCAGTTGCAAACCCCATGTAGGCCCACCTTAGGAGTTTAGAGTTCATCCTGCGAACAGCTGGACTCCAGCTGAGGTCTTGAAGGAGAGAAGTAACTTGATGAGAATTGTTTTTAGAAAGATCATTTCGATGTCTATGTAAAGAATGGACTTGAGGAAGATAGATGCCAGGGAGATCAGCTAGGAGGCTGTATTAATACTCTAAACAAAAATGATGAGGGTCTAAGCCAGTGGCCATGAGGATGATAAAAAGGGACTTTAGCCAGAGGACACTTCTGACAGAGATCTGACAGGTCTGATGATCAATTGGACATGGAAAATAAGGGACATAAGTCAAAGATGACTTGAAGAGTTCTAGCTGAGGCAACAGAGTGTATTTTAATGCCATTAGCTGAGGTATAGAATTCCATAGGGAAATGCAGATTTGAGGATGAAAACAACTGAGGATGAGGTTAGCAGCTCTATTTTCAAAATGTTGAGATTATTTCAGAAGTGGATGTGGGACTTTAGTTTGTGTAGGATAATTATATCTGTTGAGGGGAAATACATTGTGGAAGGATATTTAACCATTTGGTTTGCATATTATAGCCAAATCATAGGTGGCCTTATTTCCTTGTCTGTTCAATTAGTTTTACTTGGTTATGTTTGTAAAGAGATCAAGCAAAAATCCTTTCAACATTTTAAAATATTTCTAAAAGCAGCAATGTATTTCCAATCCTAAAGGCATCTATACAGTTTGGCAAGCATGCAATATGGAGATTGGGGAAGAAACAGTAAAATTCAGGGTGGGAGTGCTGCATGTTATAACTGAGGACAGATGTGGTCTCATGGAAATGCTTGTAGTATACATAAAGAAGGCATCACACATCCTTGAATTAATAGGAATATATATTCTAATTAATTGACAGCAAGAGCTGTTGATAGAATGAAAGAATAGATCTCAAGCTCCCTAAGCAAGCACCCAGACACAGCCAAATAAATTGCTGAGACTCTGTCTTTATATAACATATGATGCAGTGTTGCAGTAATCAGCCTATGTTTTCCTGTATTCCATCCATTATTTAGGATTTGAGGCTGTTTTTTACACTTAAATTTTGCATGCGTAAAAGAGAAAATCTAGAGATGGAAATTAGAACAAAGAGAAAATTAAAAATTCAGAAAGAATGCTTTAATTCAGATAAAATGGCCACCACATTGTATAAAGAGTCTGTGACTTTAAAAAATAAAAATAAAAACTATACCATAGGCACTCCTTCATTGTGATACTTTTTCCAGAAAAAAATGATGAGTTCTACCAGGACATCAACATTTTCGTGTTATGTCTTGTGATCAAAATATATTGTCATACTGGGGGTTAGGATTAAAAATAGAATTTTCTCTGTACTAAGTTAACACATTACCTTGCTTTATTAGTAGCATCTTCAAAAAACAAACAAACAAAAACCCTGAATGAATCATTTCAGACAATTTATCTATGTACATGTTAAATCCCTAGGAAACATTTAAACAAGTCAAGTCGAAAAGGTGGAGGGAAGGGGTTTCCTGAAACCTGAGCACTGGTCCAGACCCTTAACTTTCATTTATAGCACTGTCTCATGAAGGAAAGAATTACTTCAGGCTGTTTGCTAAAAACATTGCTTGTGTGTTTATATTGTACTGATTTTTGCAACACAAATATTTTAATCCAGACTATTCATACAGACCCTTTATTTTAATATGCAATTGATTAGCTAGTATTGTACAGAAAGAGAGACTAATTGTAAATGGCCCAAGTAGTCTATAAATATTCCCCTTAGGAGTGCCAAAATTGCAAGCCATAATAGTGATGGAAAGTTGAATAAACTTCTGTAAATTAAAATTTACTTCCTAATGATGTCTCTACCAAACCAATATTATCATTACCATTTACTGAGCAATTTATTTGGTGCCAGGCTCTGAGTTTATGGGGAAGGACATAAAGATAAATAAGATTCAATCTTTTCTCTCTAAAGTTAGTAGTTTAGAGAAGTTAAAAGTATTACCAGCTGTCTATAAGAACAATTATAAATGCTATTATGTACACAGATTCACATCTGTACATAGCATGATAAGCACACAAGCACAGTGCCTGGCCCACAGGAAGTGTTCAATAAATATCAATTATTACTATCAGTAAAGGCTTCATATAAATAGAAATTTAATACAGAAATGGTGTTGGGCACTGAATATTGTACAGTTCAGACTCCAGGGACTAAGTAAGAGTAACCACAGAGCATCATCTCTTTGGGTACAAAGGAAGGTGGGTGAGGGCCATGCTGGTAGGAAACAAGTGTGCAAATAAAATGATGCAGAGTGAGAAAAATCAAGAAATCCAAAAGGAATGAAACTGGGTCAGGAGCAAAAGAAAGCTTCATGTAAAATAAGCAGGTAACACAATTCCCCAGCAGGATGAAGGGTATGCCATTGGAGTAGCTGTGTTCTTTTGGTTGTGCAGCCAGTGTGGATGACTTTCTCAAGAGACACAGGAACAGCCCATGCTACTGCTATTATTAGGCACTGCAAGAGGGGCATGTGGAAGGAGGGTATGGCATTCAGAACATCTGTAATGAGAATGGACCGGTATTATCAGAGCATGGCATTCATTACCTCTCTCACAACTTACCCAGAATTGCACATGTTTTAACACAACAGAAGAATTGCTCATAAATCTCTTGAATTCATAAGCATTTCGGTCCTGTTGTGGGAATTGGGAACTTGGAGTCTTTACGCTCCAGGACACTCAAACCACTCCTTAAAACTCTGCTTGCAATTTTTAGCTCACTACATAACAAAAGACACCAGATTCCTCAGGATCCAAGATGGAGATTCCCTGCTGGGATGCAACTAATTCATCCATTAACTTTATCCTGTTAAAGGTTTTCTAAACTTGCATTAAAAAATTATTGTTTGGTGGAGAATACTAGGCAAAACAGAAAAGCTTTGGGAGCCTGGACCCAAGGATGAAACACCTAAGGAGTATTCTACGCTCCTTTAATGCTTTGCAAAATTTTCGTATTGTGGTGCACATAGAAATAAATTCTGAATGTGAGTCAAACAGTGGGAGGGCACTGTTGGCAGCTGGATCTGTTGGAAAGCTGCTCACTTACGAAAAATGCTGCAAGGAAAATTGTGATTTTCCTGCTTGGCATTCACTTTAATTCAGCAATCCTTTCCTTTAAAAATGTAAAATAGCAAGAATATGGTAAATGGAGTGCATTTTTATTTGTTTATGACTTGAGAGTTTCTGCCTTGTGAAAAGGCTAAAAGACCTAAAGGCAGAGGAATCTTTCCTCTCAGAGGGGAAGTGTTGTGGAAGAAAATAAAGGTTGAGTTAGGTATTCAGCAAGATTCAGTCACTCTCAGGGGAAATGTCCTTCATTTGGGGAGACTCTGAAACTCATTCAGGCTACCAGAGTACCAGTTAGCACATGGCAATTGTAATTCTCTAAATGGAACCCTGGTGGCCTAAAAGAATCAATGCTACCAAAGAGACAAACTTACCTACAGGGAGCAAATTAGGTGCCAGCAGAATGTCTGATTATTTTGCTATTTATATTTATAGAGTCAGTGAGTCAACGAGTATTTATTGACCTCCCAGAGGTTGCACAGCTCTCTAATAAATGTTTGGGTGCTTATTACTGGTTAGACACAGTCTCCTGCCCTCAAGGAGATTTACAATCTAATCAAGGTGATAACTATCCTTTAAAATGGACACTTTTTAATAAATATAACAAAGGCAAGTTAGAAAGTTTGGATTGGAGATTTTATTGACACATTGGAAAATGAGATAATAAATCAGGAACAAACCTCTAGAAGTTGAGGTTTGAGGGTTTTTTGTTTGTTGCTTTTTTTTTTTTGGTCTTTGTTTCTTGTTTTGTTTTGGTCTTAAGGGCAGAGATATAACCAATAAAAGAAGAGAATTATTTGAAACTTTCAGAAAAGCCTGGGTTGGGAATTTTTTAGATTAAACAAAGGAAAAAAAAAACAATGTTAGCACAAAATTAATCCTGTCTTGTATGGAAGGCTAAAAGATACAATATGGCCTGAGTTAATTAAGAGAGAAAATAGACTTTGTGCATTTAATCGGCTGATAGAAGCTTTAAAGAAAAAAGGTACGGAGAGCAGAAAGGTGTGATACCTTTCCTCACCCATCATAAGGGTCATGGCCAACACTCTTGTGACAAAGGTCAGGCTAACAATACGTATCAGTTCATTTCCAAGCTGCTGATAAAGATACACCTGAGACAGGGTAATTTATAAAGAAAAAGAGGTTTAGTGGACTCACAGTTCCACGTGGCTGAGGAGGCCTCACAATCATGATGAGAGAAGAACAAAGGCACGTCTTACCTGGGCACAGGCAAGAGAGAAAATGAGAGCCAAGTGAGAGCCTTATAAAACCATCAGATCACATGAGACTTATTCACTACCACAGGAACAGTATGGGGGAAACCACCCCATGATTCAATTATCTCCCACCAGGTCCCTCCCACAACACATGGGAATTATGGGAGCTACAATTCAAGATGAAATTTGGGTGGGGACACAGCCAAACCATATCACAATAATAAACCATAGCAGATTTATATAATCAAAGTTCTGTGCAGCACAGAAGGCTTCAGAAATGAAAACCCAAAGACCCAAGGGAAAATTGTCCATTTTTATGCTTAGATTCAATGAAGAATGGACAGCCATGTAGAAATGTGATTGGACACAAAAAGAATAATCCAATGGTAATAGACTGAGAAGGGAAACCTAGCAAGGCCTATCAGTTCAGATTCTTCTGGACCTCTGTGTTTGGTAAGGGAAGAACCCCTTCTGGAATGACAGTCTCATGATCTAGTTTCAGACAAGGTAGGTCTGATGATTTCTTCATGGCCAGCTCTTCCACAGAAAGACAAGATAAGGTTGGAATAATGTTTCTAGGTCTTATAGCTGCTTTCAGGAGGGGTGGGAGCGGGGAAGGACGTGGTTTTTATGATCTGCCTTGGGGAAAAGGAATTCTAGTTTCTATGGCCTGCCTTGGGGCAGAGAGAGGAGCAGAAAAAAGAAGGGCAGGAGAAGGTCAGAAGAGACTTTGCTTCCTGTGTTCTTCTTATGTTCAAAGTACTCAGCATGCCAAAGAGCCATACTTTGGGGTATCATTTTCTGAGCCCCAACAAATGTTAATACCCAGTAAAGAAGTCGTTGGAGGTTATTAGTAACAGCCATACGTGAACTGAGTAATTGCAATACTAAGAAATGAACAATACTTTTTAGCCATGTGCAGAAAAACTTTGAGTAAGAGAAGCTTGGGACTAAGGAGATGTCAACCAAAAACAGCCAATCATCTTGTATCCTGGTCTATATAAAACTCTCTGGTGGTGCTAGAGAAGAACAGACAGTGAGAAACAAAGATGCCTTTGCAGGGAATCTTTTGAAGGGATAAAAATGTAGCTAAGAAGCTCAGTTTCAGTCATATTGAGTTTGATAATGGCAACAGGAAATCTAGTGAGTGTTTGTAGTAATGGCCAGGAGAAATCTGGGACCAAAAAGGGAAATTTGTTTAAGAGGAGAATGAATGTGGTAATTGAATTTATAGATAAAAGTGTAATGTTGGATGAAAACACCAAAAGAATTTTTCCCATATGAAGGAAATGATAGTGAGGAGAGATGAATTATAGTTGCATTTGAGATGTTCTTCCAAAGATTTCTTTTCTGTGAAAAGACATAATTTTATTACACTTGTTTAATATTCACTGAGCTTAAGAAGTTTTATCTAGGGTGCTGGTTGGAGTAGCAGAGATGAAATGCTTCAACTAGGGGTAATAGAAGATTTAGGGACATTTACCAAATGATTCTAGAGCCTCCCTGAAACTCTTCTTACCACAAGTTGGCCTTCCATGCTAAGCAGGGCCTCTTGCTACCTTGAATTCTACAGCCGTATCCATAACACAGTCCCATGCTATACCCATGGCTCTGCAAAGTGGTGTTACAGAAACCAAGCAACTCAAATCTTAGTTCTGTGACATATGATCTTAACTCTTAAGCCGCTTCGAGCATCCATTTCTTCAACCGTAAAATAGAGTTTAATAATAGGTTCCATCTCAGAGGGATGTTGTGAATATTAAACGAGATAATACATAGCTCATGTCTGGCATACAGTAAGTACTAGATAAATGTTAGCTATTACTCTAATATATATTTGGGTACATATATATAAATGTATATTAAATATGCTGTTAACTTATAACTGTTCATTTTTTTCTCCTTTCTATAAATATCCTCTTACAAATTCATGTCCTTCTTTAGAATCTACAGTAAGTTCCATATTTTCAGCAACACCCACCCCACTCTGATTACTTTTAATATTTTTTCAAAATTATTACTGTGCCTTTTTAAGCTACATTATCACTCATTTCAGCTCAATACAGTTACATTTTAAAGGACTAAGGATATGAAATCTAAAGATATAGGCCATTAGCGTTAGCTGTAAACTTGGACAAGTTTCTTAACCTCTATGAATCTAAGTTTTCTGTTTTTATGAACAAATAGCAACAAACATGTGCATCATCAGCATTGCAGGACTATTATTAAAAGTAATTTTTATGGCCGGGCGCGGTGGCTCATGCCTGTAATCCCAGCACTTTGGGAGGCAGAGGAGGGCAGATCATGAGGTAAGGAGATCAAGACCATTCTGGCTAACACGGTGAAACCCCATGTCTACTAAAAATACGTAAAATTAGCTGGGCATGGTGGTGGGCGCCTGTAGTCCCAGCTACTTGGGAGGCTGAGGCAGGGGAATGGCATGAACCCGGGAGGTGGAGCTTGCAGTGAGATGAGATCAGGCCACTGCACTCCAACCTGGGCGACAGAGCGAGACTCTGTCTCAAACAAAACAAAACAAAACAAAACAAAACAAAACAAAACAAACAAACAAACAAAAGTAACATATTTAAAACAATTTATATAACAGCTGCAGCGATTTTAAAATTCTTGTTATAAGCCATTCTTAGTGGCATACTTATCACTGATTAGGGAGGAACTTTGAGAATAGACACCATTGCATCTAGTACAGAATATTCATAATGTTAGCACTTAAGAAATACTTTCTACGCATCTCGACGGAGGAGAGGCTTGACAGCCACAGAAAGAATACAGACACTGACCAAGAGAGCGGAACCCTATCCCATAGAGTGATCTTTTCAAGTAGGGAGATATTAAGGGTAAGTGACCACAGCTGGAAAGACTCACTAGCAAGTGGTACTGACTCCTCCCCATATGCTACGTTAGCCTTGATGGCAACAATGGAGTTTGAAGTTTTTGAACAAAGGAATTATTGATTTCTTGGTTTAAACTTGCCACCTTATCCCTAGTTGCAATGTAGTAATTGCCACTTTGTGAACGGCTCTTTACAAGTCTTAAATCAAGCATACTTATATAGAGGATCTTGAATTATATGGTTAACATATAATCTTCAGAGCATGGAATTTTTGAGTTAGCACACCATGTTACACAGGGCTCTAGAGGGCTGAAACTAGCTTTCTGGTTATTAATGGCATAAACGGAGCTCTAGAGTCAAATATATAGAAGCATGAGCTGATATCAAGAAAGCAGTATTTGAGTAGTATCTGAAGTCCTAGGAGTGACAACTTCTGCAAACTGCCCATTTATCTCAAAAGCCTCCAACTCTCATCCAACTTTAAGTACTCTACAACTATTCCATGTCTTCTGGTTCACCTTGTAGTCTCTCACCGAACTCCAGCTCTGAATCTCTTTCTGTCTGTCATATACTTTCTTTATGGGTAATCAATCAATTGAACTGCTATTATTGACAGGTGAGAAAGAGCTTTAAAAAGCAAAAGATGTCAACTTCAAGAATAATAATAGGAACCAGAATAAAGCCAAACCAGCTTATTCTTACCTTGAAACCAAATTCAAGTCCATTAAAAAATAGTAACAGTCACACATCCAAAAGTAAGTCACAAGCAACCTAAATAAATACCTAATTATTTCAAAGCACACCATGCCTCACGCCCAATAACTTCTTTTGAAACCAGCTTTCTTTATTTCTGTCTGTATGAACCATACATCAACTCTTTCTCCTCCCTGTTTTTAAGAATCCGGATCCTCTGCCACCAAACCCAGCTCTTGTTAGCATGTAGGCTCTTGCCCTTTTTCTCCCCTGCTTATCCTCCCAACAAGGTCTGTTCTTTTCTCCAACTACTGCTGCACTCTCTCCTTTTCTATGTGAATTAATATTTTCTGTTTTCTTCAGCTCTCTACTTAGCCTATCAACACCACAATAATCACAGGCAAGAAAGAGAAAGCGGAGGCGAGAGGAAAAGATTATGAACAGTCAGGTTTAAGAGGTTTGGCTGTCATAAAAATTAAGATTTAAAACTTGAAAAATTCCCCAAGTTTTAAACACTGTCTGAACTTGATAGCATATAAGTAATGAGCAAAAACATTTAAAACCCTCCTAAATATTTTGTACACCTGGATATGCCCCCCAGGAAATTCCTAGCAGTGACTGCTGCTTTAATTTTCCCCAAGTATGGCAGACAATAGTGAAGAATTCCTGTCAGTCCTCTCCCATGAATTCAGTTTCAAAGCTGTTAGCACAACACTAGTATTTCAACATTCCTTTGGCTTTACCATCTTTATGTTCATTTTAAATTAAGAAGTCTGAAGCAGATCTTATCAAATCCATGATATTGTTAAGAGCACTTCAAGGTCCTTTTAAAAACAAGAATTACTTACATCAACCTACTTTATTGCTTCATTTTTCTGACTCTAAAGGACACAAAGTATACTAAAGCAATTTAACGTGGCTGTAACCTACAATTTTAACTTACCCTGAGGGGCCATTTCACCTCTTGTTTTACTTTTCCAGACCAAATCAATAGAGGGAAGAATCATGTCAAGACACATGTCATAATTGTATTAAAGGTCAATGAGGTTTAAAGAAATTGGGCTCTACTCATCAATAATTGGCCCACAATTTGTGCCAAGGTATAGGGTGAAATGCTATTCACCTGAAACATCTCTAAGTTTATTCTACCTATTGTTGGCACCTGAGGGAACTATAACTAAACATATGCTTAGGGTCTGAAAGTCAGCGATCAACAAAGACTTTCTCTTAAGAAAGTAAGAGGTAATAATTCAGCAAGAAACTTGCACAGTCCACCTTCTTCATCACAAAAGATGTTAAAGTAGACTCTTGGTGTTCGCAGACCTAACAGTGAGGGACTTACTGTTAGCAAGCTCAAAGATCTTCGCTATCATGCAATTTGCAACTTTGCTGAGGCATGAGTTTAAATTTCAGGTGATATAAAGTTGGTGTAGAAAAATTGGCACAACTCTGGGAAAGGGATCCTCAATAGCTGTGCAGTATCTAAGTATGCCCTCAGCTTTCTCGTCCTCTACTTAATATCACATAGATTGTAACTGCCACTAAGGCTCTAAAAGGGTCTTTAAATTCCTCAGCTGGAATTCACTGTGCTCGGGGAAATTTGGGTAGTGGTAGTATTTGTACACTTGAAGAATTACAAAGGGACCCAGTATTGGAATGGGAAGTACAGGGAAGCTAATGAGGGAGCTCCTGGGAGGCGTTTCTTGTCTTATAAGGCACAGGCATGAGTAGATGGCTCAATGGTGCTGTCCATTCCCCTCTTCTTATCTTGAAGAATAACCAGATACCTAGATCTGTGACAGCCACCTTGCAGCTGTGAAGTGACAGGCCAGAAAATAAAAATCTAATACACTAAGTATGGTGGAGAGGAAAGAGAAAGAGCTTGGGCCCTTTAAGAAACTGTTAAACGAAATAGTCTATTAAAAGAAATAGTCTGCCACCTATGTCCAGACTTACTTTGTGAGACAATTAAATGTCCCTATTGTGAGAAGCTGAAAGCATTCCTGTTGATACAGTGGTGAGCAATAGTGTCCCTCCTCCTCAAGGAGTATAATTGATTCAAGGAAATAATACAAGAACTCAAATGACTTTGACGACTAGTAGAGAAATATATATATATATGCCATGTGAAAAGTGAAAACAAAGTGCTATGAAGGCTTACTGTTGGGAGGGACCTTTTCTACCTGGGGTAAACTGAGAAAGCAAAGGCCTGGTGAGGTCATGGAGAGAACCAGTTGAGGCAGGAAGGGGAGCTCTCACAGAGATCTGCATTTATCTTCTGGCTCTGCCACATACAAGCTGTGCAATCTTGAACATGTAGTTTGGACTCCTTAGAATTTCAATTCCTTTGGAGGGTTTCATTGGCTATCAGCAAAACTTTGGGTAAAGAACCTAGACCAAGTAAGCAGTCATGAAGTAGCAGCTATTATTTTTAAAGAAATAGTATAGTATTCCACAGCCTATTTTCACCAGAGAAACTAGACCGTCGATTCCAATCTGCCCTAACTCATGAATATGATCCAATCGAAATGAGACTTATTACAATGGTCAATTAAAACAGGCAGTGCCTATTTAATGACTGCAGTAAACAAAAAAGGAAGAATCAATATTCTCCCCACCCAACATCCCCCTGTAGATGAAATGAATATTACTGCTTCTGCAGATAAAGATTTAGAATTCATGTTTTCTCCAGGTAATGTTGAGAAGTTTTACCTCATTAAGTTCTCACATTAAGTCCAATAACATGTATTATTATCTACATTTTACAGATGAGAAAGCTGAAGTTCCTATAATTTAAAAAATGACTTTAAATCAGACATCTACTTGAATAGAAGATGAAACTTGTACTTATTGTATCTAATTTTAAAACCTTCTTTCTTATCACTACATCATACTGCTTCCAGTTAGAATCAAATCCATTCTCTTCCCCATGTTCTTAACTGGTTTGAGTGTTTAGGCATATGGCAAGATTGTTCTCTCTCTCTTTCCTTCAAACACTGCCACCACCAGAGTTGGTTGTCCATATTTACATTCATGGAAGTGGTGTTGTCGAAAAGATCAGAACTGATGTTTATTGGGCACCTACTATGTGCCATTAATGGTGCCGGGCAGGTTACAGCACATTTATTCCTCAGAACAATGTAAAAGGTAGATATTACCGCCCCTATTTACCGCAAAAAGAGACTCAGAGTTTAAGAGGTTAAATACTGATTTTCTTGCATAAAATAAGAGATAATAAGTGAGAGGGTCAGAACCCAAACTCAGTTCTGCCTAAATCTGAAGTTCAAGTCTTTTCTCTACACAAGTTTCCCTCTTCAACATCCCTCTACCCTCCACTTCATATTTTCATCACCAACTCACTCCCCAGCTCAGCTGCAGCCTTAAAAATAAAAGCCTGCATTCCCAGAATAGGAAAAAACAAAATGAACCTCATTTATAAAGATTTTCCCTTGGTTGATCAACCAGTAGCTCCCTAGAAGTTTGACTCAAAAAACTTGTTTTATCTTGCCTAACTTGGAATTCATGCAGCACCAAAGCACTATCTGGAAGGCATTTGCTGAAAATATTTATAGGCAATAAATAAGAGTTGGGGCAATGGGTCAAAGAAGCAATCACAAAGAAAATAAGAAAATACTTTGAGATGAATGAAAAACAAAAACACAACATATCAAAATATGGGATGCAGCAGAAGCAGTGTTCAGAGAGAAATTTATAGCTGTAAACAACTACATTATAAGAGAAGAAAGATCTTAAGTCAATAACCTAACTTTCCACAATAAGAAACAAAAAGAAAGGGAAAAGAACATGATAAACTGAAAACAAAGAGAAAGAAGATATAAAAATATTAGGGTGGAGATATAAACAAAATAGAGAATAGGAAATATAGAAATAAATGAAATCAAAAGGTGGTACTTTTGATTTTTTCAAAGATTAAAAAATGACAAGTCTTTAGCTATACTGAAAAAAAGAGAAGACTCAAATTATTAAAATCAGAAGTGAAAGTGGGAACATTACTACCAACCTTTCAGAAATAAAAAGGATAAGAGAATGCAATGAAGAGTTGTATGTCAAGAAATTGGATAACCCAAATGAAATGGACAAATTTCTTGAAATATACATGTTATCAAAACTCACTAAAAAAAAAAAAAACTAAATAGACTATAACAAGTAGAGACAATTGGTAATCAAAAATTGCAATGAAGAAAAGCCCAGAATCAGATGTATTCACTTGTGAATTGTACTAAATCTTTAAAGGACACCAAACCGTTTCAAACACTATTTTTTTTTTGAGATGGAGTCTTGCTCTGTTGCCCAGGCTGGAGTGCAGTGGCACAATCTCAGCTCACTGCAACCTCCACCCCCCAGGTTCAAGCGATTCTCTTGCCTCAGCCTCCCAAGTACCTTGGATTACAGGTGTGTGCCACCATGCCCAGCTAATTTTTTTTTTTTTTGTATTTTCAGTAGAGACAGGGTTTCACCATTTTGGCCAGGCTGGTCTCAAACTCCTGACCTCAGATGATCCACCCGCCTCGGCCTCCCAGAGTTCTGGGATTACAGGCATGAGCCACCGTGCCCAACCTCAAACCCTTTAAAAATATAAGAAGGAACATTTCTTAACTCATTTTATGAGGATCCTATTACCTTGATATCAAAACTAGGTAAAGACACTACAAGAAAAGAAAAATACAGACCAATATCCCTTAACAAAATACTAGCAAACCAAATCTAGGAGCATATTAAATGAATTAAATCTTGTCAAGATGATAAGCAGTTTATCCCAGGAATGCAAAGTTGGTTCAACAGGAAAAAAATTAATCGATGTAATACATCATATTAGTAGAATAAAAGGGGGAAAACCCCACATGAGCATCTCCATAAACAGAAGGATGCGATAAAATCTAATACCCTTTCATGATAAAAACACTCAACAAACTAAGAATAGAAGGGAACTTCCCCAGCCTGATGAAGGTAATTTATGAAAAACCCACAACTAACATTACACTTAATGGTTAAAGACTGAAAGCTTTTTCCTTAAGATCAGTAAAAAGACAAGGATGTCTACTCTTGCCATTTCTATTCATATCATTAAGGGAAATGATATAGAAAGCCCTAAAGGAGTAAAAAATATGAAACCTATTAGCGCTAATAAACAAGTTCAATAAAGTTCCAGTGCACAAGATTGATACACAAAAGTAAGTTATATTTTTATACATTAGCCAGCAACAATCCAAAAATGAAATTACGAAAACAACTTACTAACAATAACATCGAAAATAATTGAATAGAAGTAAATTTAACCAAGGAAGTGAAGAAAACTTCAAAACATTGTTAAAATAAATTAAAGACCTAAATGAATAAAAGGTCATGCTATATTCATTAAGTGAAAGACTTAATATTGTTAGGATGGCAGTACTACCGAAATCTGTAGATTCAATGAAATCTGTGTCTGTATTAATGCAATCTATACATCTATAGTCAATTTGATTTTTTTTTTTTTTTTTGGAGATGGAGTCTCGCTCTGTTGCCCAGGCTGGAGTGCGGTGGCACCATCTTGGCTCACTGCAACCTCTGCCTCCTGGGTTCAAGTGATTCTCCAGCTCAGCCTCCTGAGTAGCTGGGATTACAGACACACACCACCACACCTGGCTAATTTTTGTATTTTTAATAGGGACAGAGTTTCACCATGTTGGCCAGGCTGGTCTTGAACAGCAGCCTCAAGTGATCCACCTGCCTCAGCCTCCCGAAGTGCTGGGATTACAGGCATGAGCCAGCGCACCCAGCTCAATTAATTTTTGACAATGGTGCCAAGACTATTCAATAAAGAAAAAATAGTTTTTTTAAGAAATGCCACTGGGACAATTGGATGTCCATATGTAAATAACTGGACCCCATACCTAACACCACATATAAAAATTAATCTCAGAATTGACCAAATACACAAAGCTTATGGAAACATAGATGTAAATCTTCATAACCTTGGATCAGGCAATTTTTCTTTTTTTTGAGACGGAGTTTTGCTCCTCAGGTGATCCTCCCACCTTGGCCTCCCAAAGTGCTGGGATTACAGGCATGAGCCACCGTGCCCAGCCTGGGTGATATTTCTTAACTATGATACCAAAACATAAGCAACAAAACAATATAGATAAGTTGGACTTAATCAAAATTAAAAATGTTTGTGCATCAAAGGACACTCTCAAGAAAGTGAAAAGATAATCCACAAGGTGAAAGAACATTTTTATAAATCATATATCTGATAAAGTTCTCATGCCCAGAATATATTTTATATAAAGAACAATAAAAATTCCTCAAAAGTATTTAAAAACAAGTGAAGTAAAAACAGACAAAAAGGAACAATGAAAAGTCAATCTAATTAAAAACTGGAAAAAAGACAGCCAGGCGCGGTGGCTCACGCCTGTAATCCCAGCACTTTAGGAGGCAGGTGGATGGATCACCTGAGCTCAAGTTTGAGACCAGCCTGACCAACATGGTGAATCCTCGTCTCTACTAAATACAAAAAATTAGCTGGGCATGGTGGCACACGCCTGTAATCCCAGCTACTTGGGAGAGTGAGGCAGGAGAATCGCTTAACCTGGGAGATGGAGGTTACAGTGATCCGAGATTGTGCCATCGCACTCCAGCCTGGGCAACAAGAGAGAAACTCCATCCCAAACAACAACAACAACAACAACAACAACAACAACAACAACAACAACAAACTGGACAAAGGATATTTTGGACAAACAGCTATTTCTCCAAAAAAGATATACAAATGGCAAATAAATGCATGAACAGGTTAGCCACATCATTAGTCATTAGGGAAATGCAGATCAAAACCACAATGAAATATACACTAATAAAACATACACTTAATAAAATATACACTTAATAAAACATACACTAAATTGGTTATAATTTTACAAATAGGAATTAATAACTCTTGGTGAGGATATGAAGAAATTGGAACCTGCATACATTACTAGTGAAAAATTCCAATCTTATGTATGTACCCAAAAGGACTGAAAGCATATGTTTGCACAAAAACTCGCACATGAGTTTGACTATTTTTTTCACATTGAATAGTCTTGGCACCATTGTCAACAATCAATTGACTATAGATGTATAGATTTAATTAATATAGACATAGATTGCATTGAGTCTATAGATTTGGGTAGTATTGCCATCTTAAACAATATTAAGTCTTTCAGCAATATGTTCATAATAATCAAATAATGGAAACAAACCAAATGTTCATCAACTGATACACGGATTTTTAAAATGTGATATATCCATACAGTAGAATACTATTCATTGATGAAAAGGAGTGTGTAATGATACAGGCTACAATATGGATGCACCTTGAAAACATTATGCTGAATGAAAAAAGTCAGACACAGAAGGTTACATATTGTTTAAGTTCATTTACATGCAATGCCCAGAGGAGGCAAATATATAGAAACAGAAAGTAAATTAGTGGTTGCCAGAGAATGGGGGAGTTAACACATAAAAATCCCATTCTATATGCCAAGTCCTCTGCTAAGTCCTTTGCAGATATTATCTCATCTGTTCACTGCAGATAGGTACAAGTATTATCCTGCTTTTATATTATATCTGGCAAAATTGGAGCATGAAAATGATTAAGTAAATTCATACATCTAGTATGTAGCAGAACTAGAAGGTAAGCTTAGGTCTTGCCAACTTTAAGCCTGGAATCTCAAAGGTGGTATGCAGGAGCTGAATCCTACAAGCTTGAAAACTAATTGCCTGCATCTTTTCCCAACTTCAAGTTCAGTAACTTCATGTTCACAGACTGAAATTGGCTATGGTGGAAATATTATGTATTTACATAGTGGAAATTGGCAAATACTACAAATCAGGGTTGTTTTTTCTGAACAGTTTACTAGCTCTCAACCACTATATTAATCAGCCTCCATAGGCAAATAAATATAATGGCTTATTTTAAAAACACCCAATTAATACATTAAGAAAGTTCTATATATTAAGTCAAGAGAAAATTCATTTAAAATTTTGGGCTATAATCTATCCACTTTATACCTACTATATACTGATATAAACAATTTTTCTAATTTTGGATTTGTGAGATGTTTTATTCCAAAATTCACATGTTATCGCAAGAAATTTTTAGAAAGGTAAATATGGTGATTTGTAATCAGAACTGGGTATCAGAAACTACTAATATCCACATTGTTATGTATGTTTTGCCATTTTCTGGAGTAGGCTATTAGCTGGAAACCTGAAAAATGATTTATAAATACTAAATATATAATTTTTACCTGAAGTATTTTTCTTTTACAAAGTGGAATTTGAGGAAAAAGGTACTACACCTATTTCTTCATAATAAACAATGTGTCTAAAGCAAAATTACTTAGATGCAATGTGACTTATGAAAGCATGAATTTGTTTTAAAGGGAGGTCACATTACAGATACAAAGAAATGAGAACATCCGGATTTATTTCCCCTCCTTTCATTAAGCATGAGCAAACAAATTCCGTTTGAAATTTTCTGAATCTAGTATCTTCCTGAGTTTAAAATTTTTAATTGGTGGAAGTCTTTATGACCATTCTGCAAATCTCTACTTTTAAAAATTAATTCATACACATTATATCGGTAGGTATTCTTCATTCATGGGAAAAAGGGGATTGGGTTTCTAACTGGATCTTTCAAAGGTTCAGGTAGCTGTGTGTATTCTAAAGTGAAAGCTAAGGAACACTTTTTCAAACGTTTGAATCCTAAATCATGTCAATCTGATAAAATATGCTAATATTCCTCAGATAAATAAAGTATGACAGTTCTGAGACAAGCAATCACAATTCTGTAGCATTTCCCACTAAAAGTGTTGTTAGATTTGTTTGTAAGATTTAACTAAGCCTAATCATATCTTGACTAATATTTTTGCCAAGGGAAGAAAATAGTTGTGTGAAGAAAAGGCAATGGAGTTTTGTGGTTAAGCATGTAGATTTGGAGCCAAAATACCTCGTTCACATCTCACTTAACCAATTGTTTGATGTTGGGCAAATTGACAATATTCTCTCAGCCTCTGTTTCTCCTGCCAAAATTTTCAGCGATAACATGTATAAAGCCCTTAGCACAGCCTAAAGACAAAGTACTTTATATATGCTAACTGTATTATTAAATGGGTACCTTGGCTCATTGGATAATCGAATGACATTTCTCTAGGTCATTTTGTTGTGCTTTATTACGATTACATCGATTATAAGTAATTCTTTATAGGAAGTTATTATAAAGAAATAGTAAAAATGGCTGGGTGCAGTGGCTCACGCCTATAATGTCAGCACATTGGGAAGCCGAGGTGGGCACATCACGAGGTCATGAGTTCGAGACCAGCCTCTACTAAAAATACAAAATTTAGGTGGGCGTGGTGGTGCACACCTGCAATCCCAGCTACTGGGGAGGCTGAGGCAGGAGAATGGCTTGAACCCAGGAGGCAGAGGTTGCAGTGAGCTGAGATCATGCCACTGCACTCCAGCCTGGGTGACAAAAGCAAGACTCCATCTCAAAAAAAAGAAAGAAAGAAAGAAAGAAAGAAAGAAAGAAAGAAAGAAAGAAAGAAGAAAGAAAGAGTAAGATAAAAGTTTCAGCATTTAGCCACGTTCCAGTTACTAGTTGAAGTACCTTCCATATTCTGGTTTTTAATCCTCATGATAATCTATGAAGCAGATATTATTATCTCATTTTACAGCTGGAGCTGGACACTGTGGCCCAGGGGAGTTAAGTAGTTTACCAAAGCCCATATAGCTTTTAAATGGTAGAGCCAGGATCTGAATGGATATAAGATTTGAACAGGATCTAGCGTCAGTGTTCTTCACCACTATATTATGTTGCCTCTCCTTGATGTAGCTTTAATAATCTCTAAAGATCTAATTTCTGCCCATACAAAAAAAGAGACAGGTAAAATAAAATACACTAGACACTTCAAATCTTCTTTGGATGCAACTGAGAAAGAAATTGCATGTGTATATATATATGTACAGACTATGTTAAAATTCCGTGCTTCCCTCTGGCAATAGAGAAGGTGATTTTATAAGATTCCACTGCCATGAAAAGAGATTGATTCAATTGGCCACATATGAAAATTGATCTCATTGTCATACAGTGTACATACTACCTAGATACCTAAAACAAACTGAAGTCCATGGTGCTGCAAGTGGAGAGGAGAACTCTAAAGAGAGGTCCACCAGCTGTTGGGGCAAGGGTCAGAGCAGCAGGACCTTCTAGTGTGTCCCTGGATCAATGGGTTTTGGAGTTTTTAGAACATGATTTTAATAATCACCCAAATTGATAAGTCTCAGAGAGACTTATTCATCTTAATCAAAACTAAAAGTACACAAGCAAGAAACAAACATGACTGGAATTCTCCTATCAGCTCATTAATTGTTTTTCTTCTTTGTAGGCAAGATATGAGAAATGAAATTAATATCCAAGTTTGCTTACTAAGTAAAATCAGAACATTCCTGGCTGCAGTGGTTTTAAACTGTGGCTTCTTCTCTTGAGCTTTTTATCTTTCTTTATGTTAGATAAAGGAAGACTGAACCTACTATTTCTCAGAGAAATAAAACAATCTCTTATTATATCTGTCAACTACTGTAAGATGTTGTCAAATCTTCAACTTTTCAAAAAAATAAAGTTAAGTATCTCTCATATCCTAGGCACTAAGTGATATGGTTTGGCTGTGTCCCCACCCAAATCTCATCTTGATTGTTGCTCCCGTAATCCCCATGTGTCAAGGGTGAACCAGGTGGAGAAAATTGACACATGGGGGTAGTAGTTTCCCCCATGCTGTTCTCATGATAATGAGTTAGTTCTCATGAGATCTGATGGTTTTATAAGGGTCTTCCGCATTCACTTAGCATTCATGCTCTCTCCTGCTGCCCTGGGAAGAGGTGTCATCCACACTGATTATAAGTTTCCTGAAGCGTCACCAGTCATGCAGAAATGTGAGTCAATTAAACGTCTTTCCTTTATAAATTACCCAGTCTTGGGTATATCTTTATTAGCAGCAAGGGAACAGACTAATAAACTGGTACTGTTGGTACTAATAAATTGGCACTAAGTGGGGTGCTGCTATAAGGATACCCAAAAATGTGGAAGAACTTTGGAACTGGGTAAGAGGCAGAGGTTGGAACAGTTTGGAGGGCTCCGAAATAGACAGAAAAATGTGGGAAAGTTGGGAATTTCCTACGGATTTGTTGAATGGCTCTGACCAAAATGCTGATAGTGATATGGACAATGAAGTCCAGGATGAGGTGGTCTTAGATGGAGATGAGGAACTTGTTGGGAACTGGAGCAAAGGTCATTCTTTCTGTGCTTGAGCAAAGAGACTGGCAGCTTTTTGCCCCTGCCTTAGAGAGATCTGTGGAACTTTGAACTTGAAAGAGATGACTTGGCATACCTGGTAGAAGAAATTTCTAAGCAGCAAAGCATTCAAGAGGAAGCAGAGCATAAAAGTTTGGAAAATTTGCAGCCTGATGATGTGATAAAAAAGAAAAACCAATTTTCTAGGGAGATATTTAAGCCAGCTGCAGAAATTTCCATAAGCAAGGAGGAGCCTGATATTAATCACTAAGACAATAGGGAAAATGTCTCCAAGGTCTGTCAGAGACTTTAATGACAGCTTCTCCCATCATAGGCGCAGAGGCCTAGGAGGGAAAAATGGTTTCCTGGGCCAGTCTGTTCTGGCAGCCCAACCATGGCTAAAAGGGGCCAAGGTAGAGCTCAGGACATTGCTTCAGAGGCTGCAAGCCCCCAGCCTTGGCAGCTCCTATGTGGTGTTGGTCTTGTGGGTGCACAGAAGACAAGAACTAAGGTTTGGGAACCTCTGCTAGATTTCAGAGGCTGTATGGAAATGCCTGGATATCAAGGCAGAAGTTTGCTGCAGGGGCAGAGCCCTCATGGAGAACCTCTGCTAGGGCAGTGCAGAAGGAAAATGTGGGGTCAGAGTCCCCACACAGAGTTCCCACTGCGGCACTGCCTAGTGGAGCTGTGAGAAGAGGGCAACCATCCTTCAGACACCAGAATGATAGATACACCAATAGCTTGCACAATGTGCCTGGAAAAACCACAGACACCCAATGAAAGCAACTAGGAGAGGGGTTGCACCTTGCAAAGCCACAGGGGCAGAGCTACTCAAGGCTGTGGGAGCCCACTTCTTGCATCAGCATGACTTGGATGTGAAGCATGGAGTCAAAGGAGATCATTTTGGAATTTTAAGATTTAATGATTGCCCTGTTGGATTTCAGACTTGCATGGGGCCTGTAGCCCCTTCGTTTTGGCCAATTTCTCCCATTTGGAATGGGTGTAGTGACCCAGTGCCTGTACCCCCATTATATCTAGGAAGTAACTAACTTGCTTTTGATTTTACAGGCTCATAGGCAGAAGGGACTTGACCTATTTCAGACAACAGTCTGAACTTGGATTTTTGAGTGAATGCTGGAATGACTTAAGACTTTGGGGGACTGTTGGAAAGGCATGATTGTGTTTTGAAATATGAGAACATGAGATTTGGGAGGGGCTGAGGCAGAATGATATGGTTTGGCTATGTCCCCACCCAAATCTCATCTTGAATTGTAGTTCCCATAATCCCCACATGTCAAGGGTGAGACCAGCTGGAGATAACTGAATCATGAGGCCAGGTTCCCCCCATGCTGTTCTCACGATAGTGAGTTAGTTCTCATGAGATTTGATGGTTTTATAAGGGGCTTCTCCCTTCATTTGGCACTCATTCTCTCTCCTGCTGCCCTGTGAAGAGGTAACTTCCACCATGATTGTAAGTTTCCTGAGACCTCCTCAGCATGCAGAACTGTGAATCAATTAAAAGTCTTTCCTTTATAAATTACCCAGTCTTGGGTATGTCTTTGTTAGCAGTGTGAGAACAGTCTAATACACTGAGGACAAAGAGATTAAGATACAAACCCTGTCCTCGAGGACCTAACAGAGGAAGACAAAAATGGAAACAGATCATTGCAAAGTAGTAGTAGCAATCCCTATGTTAGTGATATATGTGGGATGCTATAAAGATAGGAGGCTCACCTTATTTTTACATCCTTAATTGGCACTTGAAGGAAAGTGTATGAAAGCTTTTTCCCTCATCTTTCCTCCTCCATGAACTTATTCATCTGTTAGGAACTGCATGTTCCACTCCAAATTCATGTGTTGAAATCCTAACTCTCAATGTGATGGTATTAGGAGGTGGGTCCTTTCAGAAGTAATTAAGTTCTAAGGGTGAAGCCCTCATGAATGGGACTTGTGCCTTTCTGATATGGTTTGGATTTGTGTCCTCACCCAAATTTCATTTTGAATTGTAATCCTCAATGTTGGAAGAGGGGCCTGGTGGGAGGTGATTGGATCATAAGGACAGACTTTCTCCTTGCTGTTCTTCTGGTAGTAAGTTCTCACAAGATCTGGTTATTTAATAGTGTGTAGCACCTCCCCTTTCTCTTTCTTCCTCCTGTTCCAGGCATGTAAGACGTGCTTGCCTCCCCTTCACCTTCCACCATGATTGTAAGTTTCCTGAGGCCTCCTCAACCATGCTTCCTGTACACCCTGTGAATCTGTGAGCTAACTAAACCTCTTTTATCTATAAATTACCCAGTCTCAGGTATTTCTTTATAGCAGTGTGGGAACAGACTAATACACCTTGTAAGAAGAAACAGAAGAACTTGCTTACTCTATTTGCTCTCTGCCATGTCAGGGTACGATGAGAAGATGGTCATCTGCAAACCAAGAAGTGGGCCCACACCTCACTAGATCTACCAGTGCCTTGATTCTGGACTTCTCAGCCTCCAGTACTGTGAGAAATAAATGTTTGTTGTTTAGGCCTCCCAGTCTAAGGTAATTGGTTATAACAGCATTAGCTGACTAACACACCATCCATTTCCTCTTGTCCTGTACCTTTAATCTCACTTTCTCCATGACTTTTTTCTCTGTAGCCTTTAAACAAGCATATTTTCTCCTCATTTAAAAAAAAGTTTTCTACACTATTCTTCATCACAGTACCACCCTATCTTGTCCTTCTCCAAACTCCACACTTTTAAAGTCTATATTTATATCTACTTTTTAAAAATTCTCTTTCCTGCCACAGCACATTATACCATTATCCCAAACTCCTCTTGATAAAAGTCACCAATGACATCCTAATCACCAACACCAAAGATCTACTTCAATTTTTATTCTGGCAGATTTCCCACAGCATTTGAAACTGTTGACTCCTCCTGAAACCATTTTGATAAATGAATTAAAAACTAAAATAAAATGGCACTAACTAGGAGATAATAGAGAAAAGTTAACTAATGGTGGAGGTTTGGGCATAGAAAAGGGGACATTGTTAAAACTGGAACTTGGAAAATGAGTAGATGCTATCAGAAGGAACAAGGGCATCTCAACAGAGTTGACTCCTCCTGAAACCCTTTTCCTCCTTGGCTCTGTTTCCTTTATTTCCTCTCAAATTAATTTATCTGAAAATGTCTTGAGTGAGAAATTTAAATTTATTTTTGTTTTCCTGCATGGTCTCTTCTTACTCTACCTGCTTTTCTTGGGTGATTTTGTCTCCAAGAACTCCAGGTACCATCTATATGTGTCAATCATCAGGGTCCTGGCCGGAAACAGATGGCACTCTCAAATGGGGTAATTGAGAAGGTTTTAATAAAGCAACTGTTTACTATTTATAACGGAAACCAGAAAGGAATGTTCAGTACCCTAGGTCTTAACTGCCCCAAGGCCTAAGGGCATAAGGGAAGAAAGCCATTTTTGGAATCTAGAGAGTGGCTGCCTAATAAGGATCACTGGGAAAGAGCTGCACCCTTTGGAATAGGGATTCAACTAGACTGTGGGGACCTGAAAGAGAAGGAGTCATAAAATAAATATCTAAAACTTACTCTCTTTCGGCCCTTTGAACTTTTCCTGGTGCCTCCCATTGCCTAAACCCACTGGAAGCCAAAGTACAGTGATGAAACCAAAAATAGGTAACGATCCTAGGGTACAGAGAAGGTTGGAAAGTATGGAGAGGGACAAACGAAAAATATCTAGCACAGATGTTATATCTCTAGTTTTAACTGCTCTTCTGAGATCTTGACCAAAATTTCCATTTTCATCTCCAATCTACTTGCATTACACCTATGGGTCTTAAAATTAATTTGCCCACTTCTTCTGTTTTTCTTATGGAAACTTTTTCATTTAGTGATGCAAATATTTTCTCTCAATCCAAAGACCATGGAATGTCCTTGATTTTCCTTCTCCTATAGCTCTCCCATTGAGGTCTGGCAAGTATTTTTTCATAGAAACATTTTTTTGAATTCTGAGCTCTCCTTTTCAATTCCATTCCTCTAATCAATATCCTTATGTTCCCTTTTCTAGACTTCTGCAATGATTTCCCAACTCAATTCCCTGTAACTGTTCTTCTCACCACTCTTTTAATGCATGTACACTGCTATCAGTTATCTTCCTAAAACACAGATCTAATCGTGACATTCCTTTGTGTAAAATCTCTAATAGATCTCTGTTGCCTTGGCATAAAATCTTAACTTCACATATAACCTCTAAGGCGCCAACCTATGCCTTTAGCATCTTGCATTTTCCTATTCAACAATATGTCTTGAACACTAAGTGTGTGCCTGATAAGAGACTAAATGCTAAGAAAAACAAATAAGAGATCATGCACACACTCTAGCCACTAGACTGCAATGAGAGTGATAAATGAATTAAAAAATGAAAATCAAGTGCCAATAACTAGGAGCTAATAGAGAAAAGCTAACTAATGGTGAAGGTTTGGGCATAGAAAAGAGGACACTGTTAAGAGTGAAACTTGGGAAATGAGTAGATGTTATCAGAAGGAGCCAGAGCACCACAACGGAGGAATACATGTGTCCATGTATAATAGCATAAACTAAGGTGGATTCAGTGAACTGAAACAATGATCTCCTAGAATTGTGTATATAAAATTTGTGCTTTCCAAGTAATGTAAATTGTAGATCAATTGTTTTCAATTGAAGGGAAATTTGGGGGAGTAATAAAAGAATTCTATGCCATGATTGAACTGTATATGTTTGTCAAACTTTAACAAACTCTACCTTTAAAATGTGTACTTTTTAAATAGTATGTGTATTAATTACATCTCAGTTTTAAAAAGGATAATCTGGGAGTCAAAAAGATTTAGTCTTTCTCCATCCCTTATCAGTTACATGAAATTAAACAGGTTACTTATCTTCTTCAATTTTTCTGATCTGAAATTATAATACCTTCCTCATAGGACTACAGAAGACTTTTTTTGGTGCTTAGCATGTAATAGGTAATTAATGAATGAGGTCTGTCAACTGGTTCTTGAATGTATATAGGGTTTATCAGGATATACAGAAAGAATTCAAGTCTGAAAAGTATGTGAGGACCTCTCAAAACAACCTATGTTTGTATTTTTAGAAAAATCAACTTAGTTTCAGTGTGGAGGACTAGAGCACAGACAGGCTATAGCAGGAATCTCATTAGGAAACTAATAGAATAAAGGAAGGAAGGGACCAAATAGTGACAGAAGCATATTCCTTGGCGTGACAGAACATGGCAATTGGCTGTAGAGGCAAAGATGAGGGTAGTGCCACTTTCCAAGAAAGTAAGGAGACTTAGGTACATAAATAAGCTTCATTTTGAGAGTTATGTGAGATGCCTGTAGGATTCAGAGATAGATATGCCATAGTACGCAAGTGGATACATGGCTCTGGACCCCTAAGATCAGACAAGATTTGTTATTATAGGCCGGGCGCAGTGGCTCATGCCTGTAATCCCAGCACTTTGGGAGGCCGAGGCAGGCGGATCACGTGAGGTTGGGTGTTCGAGACCAGCCTGACTAACATGGAGAAACCCTGTCTCTACTAAAAATACAAAATTAGGCGGGCATGGTGGCACGTGCCTGTAATCCCAGCTACTTGGGAGGCTGAGACAGGAGAATTGCTTGAACCCGGGAGGCGGAGGTTGTGATGAGCCAAGATGGCGCCACTGCACTCCAGCCTGGGCAACAAGAGAGAAACTCCATCTCAAATAAAAAAGAGAGATTTGTTATTTTATATACGTGTGTGTGTGTGTGTGTGTGTGTATACATACATATATATATATATGTGTATATATATAATTTTTTTTTTTTTAGATGGAGTCTTGCTCCGTTGCCCAGGCTGGAGTGTATGGCATGATGTTGGCTCACTGCAACTTCCTCCTCCCTGGTTCACGTGATTCTCCTGCCTCAGCCTCCCGAGTTACTGGAATTAAGTCGCCCACCACTACGCCCGGCTAATTTTTGTATTTTAGTAGAGATGGGGTTTCATCATAATGGCCAGGCTGGTCTCAAACTCCTGACCTCAGGTGATCCACCTGCCTCAGCCTCCCAAAGTGCTGGGATTACAGGCATGAGCCATTGTGCCCAGCCAGATTTGTTATTATATGTTGAGCTAATAGCAAGATAGAAATAAGAGTTACTCTCTAAGAGAGAACCAAACTGAGATGAGTCATTTGTGGAAATGACGGTATCCAAGAGAGTACAGGTGAATGCAAGCCTGGAGAATTACAAGAATAGTTAAAATCTAATTCACGTCATCTGGGTGTACATTTAAGTCTCCTTGAGGAAGCAAATAGAGTTTTGACTGTAACAAAGGAAGTTTACATCTAGTTACTTTGCTGTCTTTAGAAACAAGGAAAGTCTGCATGATATGTAAGAAAGAAGCAGAGAGAAAAACAAAAGTCTCTTTTTTTTACAGTCTAATATGTATATCATTGTGAAAAAGATTTGATTCCATTGAATATTAAGATCATCCAACTAATTTTTCTACCGGAGTCCTTTTGACTTCAAATTCTAGTATCAAGCATTTCATTAGACTGCCTTCTTAGACGATATTTTTTTTATGTATTGCTGAGATGAAGCCTTGGGAAACACTCATATCTAATAAAGTGACTAGGTCTAACCTCTAGTTCTCTATGCATGCTTTTGAAGATAGGAGGACATATTAGTCTAGACTCTCTGGGAAGCAGAGGCCAAGAGAGGATTTGACATGCAAGAGATTTATTGGGGTAAAAACCTGCAAGAGAACTAGGGTAGATAGTGGGAGGAGGCTGGGAGAATTGTCTGACTCTTGTGAAGGAGAAAGGCAAGACAGACAGGCAGGTAGGCAGGTAGACAGGCAGGATGGAATGAACGAATTAGACTGTAGTGCAGTTCTAAGCAAGACAGGAATTTGAAGGAATTATTTGGTAGCATTTCCTGCTTCTAGCATATAGCTGAGATCTTTAGGGTGTTTATTAGCCCAGAGAAAGTGAATTACAAATACACAGTGACTGGCATAATTATATAATAATAATATATTTACTATAGATATAAAAGAAAATAGCTAGGTACTTTGATGAAACAGAAAGTGTCTATGGTTCATATTGGGGGGAGGTAGAAGAAGAGATTTTGAATGCCTTGCCTTATTTATGCCGTGGATCTCAATTAGACGACACAAGCCCATCTTTGAGGTCCTGAGAAAATTAGCATGTCAATCAAATGTCTACAAATCATATGACTGAGGGGAGTTTGCCACATGATTTAAGAACATTATGTTTTCACTCATTTTACAAAGTAAAGTAGGTTTAAAAAAAAAAGAGGTGGGACCTTTGGGAGGTGGTTAGGTCATGAGGGTGGAGGTCATGAATGGGATTAGCACTGTATAAAAGAGGCTTGAGGGAGCCCTTCTGTCTCTTCTACCATGTGAGGATGCAGTGAGAAGGCGCTGTGTACCTGAAGCACAGAGCCCTTCCTGGACACTGGATTTGCTGGCTCCTTGATCTTGGACTTTCCAGCCTCTAGAACTGCAAGAAATAATTTCTTGTTGTTTACAAAAAACCCAGGCTAAGGTGTTTCGTTATAGCCTGAATGGACTAAGCTGCTGTGACCCTGTTGGAAAACTGGTGGTATCTACCGAAAGCTGAATATACACATAAACTGTGATCCAGCAATTCCACTCCTCGGTGTGTACACCACAGAAACGAGAGCTACGTCCACCGAGACATGGGCAAGAACGTTGCTAGCCACTGACTGTAGCCTCAAACTCGAAACAACCCAAATGTCCATCCACCAACCCAAATGTCCATCCACAGTTGAAGTTGGGGTGAAGTCACAGGGTCAAATACTACTGTGCAGCAACAAATATGAATGAAAATACTGCTACGCACAGCAACATGGATAAGTTTCACAGATATGATGTGAAGCAAAAGAGGTCAGAATCCTCACCACCAAGAGAGGTCATACTCAGTGTATGATTCTATTCATACAAAAAGTACAGAAATAAGCAAAACTGATCCGTGGTGTTAGAAGTCAGGGAAACAGTTAACGGTGGGAAGGATACTGGGGAGGGGCATCCTGGGGTACTGGTCTACGTCTTCATCTGGGTGTTGATTTCACGAGTATGTTCAATTTGTGTTCAGCCCTCCTGTTGGAGATGTGGAAATAAAGACCACCTAAACAAGAAAAAAAAAATTTTTATTTGGAAATAATTTCAAACTTACCAAAATGTTACAAAAAATTGTATGCAACAAAGAGTGGAAAAATTTACCTGTTTTTGATATTTTACTACATTTGATTTATAATCTTTTTTTTTTTTTAATTTGTAGAGTTGGGGTCTCACTGCTATGTCACCCAGACACAGAAGCTTCGACCTGCTCCATTTCTGACCTAGGCCATTTCACCTGTCCTCACCTGGTGGTCCCCCATTCCAGGTTGGTCACCACACTGATGCCTAATTTAGGGAAGACACTCAATTGGCATAGTGCACGACAGCCCACAACTCCTGTGCTCAAGCAGCCGTCCCACCTAAGCCTCTTGAATAGCTGGGACTACAGGTGTGCACCAACATGCCCAGCTTTCTCACTGATCTTGATTCTTTTTTTTTTTTTTAAACCATTTAGGATAACTTATTTATTTATTTATTTATTTATTATTATTTTTTGAGACGGAGGAGTCTCGCTCTGTCGCCCAGGCTGGAGTGCAGTGGCGCGATCTCGGCTCACTGCAAGCTCCGCCTCCCGGGTTCACGCCATTCTCCTGCCTCAGCCTCCGGAGTAGCTGCGACTACAGGCGCCGGCCACCAAGACAGGCCAATTTATTTTTGTTTTTTTAGTAGAGACGGGGTTTCACCATGTTAGCCAGGATGGTCTTGATCTCCTGACCTCGTGATCTGCCCGCCTCGGCCTCCCAAAGTGCTGGGATTACAGGCATGAGCCACCGCGCCTGGCCTAGGATAACTTATAAATACATCATGGATCTTTACCTCTAACACTTCTGTGTGTATTTCCTAATAATGGGGGAGATTATTTACATCATAAATATTTTACACAATATTTTATAATCCAATCTATCATTTGCATTCCAATTTTGACAGTTCATCCAATGATATCCTTTATAGCACTTTTTCCTCTTCAGTACAGAATCCAGTCTAGGACCAGGTATTATATATTTCATTGTCATGGCTCTTTAACTTGCTTTAAACTGGAATATGAAATAATCATTTGATAAAGTAAATCTAATTTATTGAAGGATATAAACTTTGAGGTCAGAGACTTTGACAGTTCCATATATTGCTTATGCACACGGCCTGGAACAGTGCCTGGTACATGGTAGCTCTCACTAAATATCTGATGAATAAGTGAGTTTTTGTGAATGTGAATGTCCATATTTTCTTTTTTCTTTCTTTCTTTCTTTTTTTTTTTTTGAGATGTAGTCTCGCTGTGTCGCTCAGGCTGGAGTGCAGTGGCATGATCTCGGCTCACTGCAAGCTCTGCCTTCCAGGTTCAAGCTATTCTTCTGCCTCAGCCTCCCGAGTAGCTGGGACTATAGGCGTGTGCCACTATGCCCAGCTAATTTTTGTATTTTTAGTAGAGACGGGCTTTCACCATATTGAACAGGCTGGTCTCAAACTCCTGACCTCATGATCCGCCCGCCTTGGCCTCCCAAAGTGCTGGGATTACATGCGTGAGCCACCACGCCCGGCAAGTGAATGTCCATATTTTCTTAAGAGGAGTTGGTATAAGTGAGTTACATTGGTCTTTGCCTCTTAAGTAGAATTTATATTATGTTTAAAAATTCCTATCTATACAAATAATTCAACATGTTGTTTTTTATAAGTAGATTTGTGTGCATAGAGCTTAAGTGTTCCTTAAGGCCCCCTCCCCGTGCTCCCTGCCCACAGCATTATCTTAAATCCCTTTCATCCCTGTACCAATTTAAACCTTTTACTGTTGTTTGAAAGTGAAATGGAAACCCAAGCTCTTCTGGCACGAAGATTGGCATCCAGTGTGACTGTCCTCTGGGCAATGCAAAACATTTGCTCCCTGCATCAAGGGCTGTAATGAATCTGAATGTTCAGATACAACTAGTAGTCATGCTGAAAAAAAATGCATGCTGGATCCTCTGTCAACATGATGACTGACAGAATGTACATGTGGTAGGAGGCTCACTGATATGATTTCAATCATAGCTCTGCAAATGGAATGCCCAGAAAAGTTGTCCATCAGTCACAGAAATCTCCACCTTGCTCCAGAGGGCCCATTACATCATTTCTACATTGTCTGAATTGCAGTTTGTTGATGGAACTGAAGAATGGCCTAGCCTCTTGCTAGCCACACCAAGGATCTCATCTCAAGGACTAGCTTGTGAGAGTCCATCTGCTGTACACAACCTACTACTCTATTCTTAATATGAAATTAGGGTCAAAATTACCAAGTGTTCTTAAGAGTGCCTTGCTCATAGTGCAGGTCACCCATTTCTCCATCCGCCAGGAAGGACACTGGTGTTGAGGCTGACACACCTATCAAGGAAAATAAGTTCCATGTCTCCTAGTGTTTTGACGAAACCTCAGGTGTATGGCCTTCTAGCCAAGTACCTGTGGTTTCACATTGTTGGAGCATTTGTGGTATTCTGGCTGGTGGCAGCTCTCTATCAAATTGCTGTGGCTGAACCAAGAAAGAAGGCATACACAGATTTCTACAGAAATTACGATTCCATGAAAGATTTTGAGGACATGAGGAAGACTGGTACTTTTCAGAGTGCAAAGTGATTTTGGAATATAAAGAATTTTGGGGGGTTGAATTACATAGAAGTTCATTACTGACCTGTGTTCCTGAACTATGAAACATGAATATGTGGGCTAAGAAATCATTTATTTAGGTAAATAATTAATGAATTAAAAAAGAATACCTTGCTCATGGTGTAATAGAAATAGAAAAGAGCTGGACTCAAGGTGTATATATAGTTTGATTTTATCTATGTATAGAAAAAAATTTTGCAGAAAAGGGTTGGAAGGAATAATGTCAATGTGGTTACTATGGTGGCTTCCAAGTGATGAGATAATGCATGATTTACAGTATCTGATCTTTTGTTGTTGGCTACGAAAAACATTTTTCTTTCATGATCATAAAAAAGAAATTAAGTTAAAAAAAGAGAGGTGTATTTTTATAGCCTCACATTTAAAAATGAAATCTAAAGAAACTGATTAAAATTCCAAGCCATTTTGTACCTCAGTTTCCCCATATGCCAAGGTGGTATGATAATGGCAGTTATAGATTACATGATGGCACTACATTAGATAACTGTAAAACATAACTATATTTTCTCAAAAGAAAGGAACCTATTATTATTATTATATCTATATTTATTTCAGAAGGAATTCTTTCCCTTAACTCTCTATCAATTATGGAGAGGGAAAGGGTTATAAATACTGACTGGCCTCTTGCCCAATCTTTTGAAAGTCTAACCCAGTGGGAAGGCAAAATAGAGTTATTTATTTATTTATTTTTTTGAGACAGGGTCTCACTCTGTCGCCCAGACTGGAGTACAGTGGCGTGATCTCAACTCACCGCAACCTCCGCCTCCCAGGCTCAAGCGATTCTCCTGCCTGAGCCTCCTGAGTAGCTGGGATTACAGGAGCGTGCCACCACACCTGGCTAATTTTTGTATTTTTAGTAGAGATGGGGTTTCACCATGTTGGCCAGGCTGGTCTCAAACTCCTGACCTCAAATGATCCACCCGCCTCAGCCTCCCAAAGTGCTGGGATTACAGGTATGAGCCACTGTGCCCGGCCAAAATAGAGTAATTTTTTAAGTGAAGGGATTTATATCTAATCTTCATCTGACATATGCTTCCAACTCTAGCTTATGTTGAAAGAAGTGCTTATTAAGGACAGACTTGATTCCTTGACTCTCATTCCTCTCCCCTCACCCCAAAAGAAACCCTCTACTCCACCCAGGCTGGAGTTCTTTCAACATAGCTTCTTTCAATTTCTGAATTTACAAATGTGAGAAAACCCTCAGAACATAGTATGCATATTTTTGCAGAATGGTCTTTGGGATAAGAGTGATTGACATCTGCAGAAATTACATCTGAAGTTTAGTCCTGTAGGAATAGGGTATACAAATTGTCTGCAATTTATCCACCAGTCCCTGATGAGCCTGAGAGAAAATGTAAGAGACTTCAGTTTTTCTTCAACAAACATGCTCACACATCTCCCTTTGCTATAACACACAAACACTCAAGAGAAATTGTCCCTATAAAAAAAACTACTTTTTGTTCCTTAACTTTGTCAAATGTAGTGATAGTGAAAGTGCACATGCCAATTAATAGCCTTTATCATGTGCCAATTGTGTCCTGAGTGTGATTCAGAACAGAAGAGGTATATGAGCTCTGATTGATGGGTTTATAATCTAAAGAATAAATTGGGGGCCTTGCGCAGTGGCTCAAGCCTGTAATCTCAGCACTTTGGAAGGCCGATGTGGGCGGATCACTTGAGGTAAGGAGTTTGAGACCAACCTGGCCAATATGGTCCCGTCTCTACTAAAAATACAAAAATTAGCTGGGTGTGGTGGGTGCCTGTAATCCCAGCTACTCGGAAGGCTGAGGCAGGAAAATCGCTTGAACCCGGGAGATGGAGGTTGCAGTGAGTTGAGATCACGCCACTGCACTCCAGCCTGGGTGATAGAGTGAGACTGTCTCAAAAAAAAAGAAAAAAAAGAAAAAAATGGGTTTTTTTGCTATAAGGTGCATAATTAAATAGCATGTAAGGATTTGCATTGTTAACCTTAGTAAACACGCATAACTTGAGAAGAACTAAATACAGTAGAATAATGGTAATAATAATGATGGTTGATGCTTACAGGTCTTACACTCCTCTTTCAAGAGTACATGAAGAATGTGATGTTCTAGACTTTGGAATCAGCCCTTGGCCTTTGCACATACCTGGCTTACGATATTGACTTTGTAAGACACAGTGCTACTCAAAATGCGGTGAGCAAACTAGCACTGGTCCTCAAACTTTTTGTTATATGTCATGATGTAGTAAGTAGAGAAAGTGAAAATAAGCCTTTAGAATCTTTTATGTTAATCTGTCAAGTAATTGCATGTCTATTGGATCTCCTAACAAACTGGGGGCTTACATTTTATGTGTGTCTTTTTAAATTTCATTTTTTGACTAATTCATTTCTTATTTTACAAATTTGTCCATCCATGACAAATTGGGGAAAAACTAGGAACTCAAAACAGATAGTTTGATAAACACCATTCTAGAATGTTGTAAAATAAATGATGAGTTAAATAGAAGCCACTTCTACACTGTAGTATTCTTACCTGGAAAGTGGATGTAACAATAGTACTTCCCTCCTGGGGCTGGATCTGAGACTTAAGGGAAGATATATGTATGTAAGGTACTTAGCACTATTCCTGCTTTTGGTAAATGCCCTCCAAAACATTAGCTCTTAGTAATATTGAATAACAAAGGCTTGAGGAGGTGCCATTATGTGCACATGGGACATCGTTTGTTTGCAATGACTTTTCAATGAAATCCTCCATCTACACGTGATCTTCTGGAATCAGACCAACTGATTTCACAGATCAAGAGTTCATTTACCATTGACTTCCATGAAGGGACCAACATTTGGCTTTTGGTCTTCCCTGACCTTTTAGCATAACTACTTCATCATTATGGTGTAAAACATCCTTCCATCGCAGGATTCCTTTGTTTTCCTTAAGTCATTAAACTGAGTAATTGCTGCAGGCCTAAACAATTGAATTATTCTGATCTTTATTGTTTGCTAGGAGCTTGTATTATTTGGGGGCCAACATAAAAATGACTTGTCACTCAAGGATGGCAAGTATAGAGACATAAACTTTGGTTTCAAGAGATATATTACTTAAGGTGGTGGCCCATTGTACAAAGTAAAAAATATAACATCTTTTCTAGTCAAAGTGGCCAAAGAATATTTTTCAAAGTGTGTTTTGGCTACATGTCAAAATTGAAGGTCATTGTCCCTTTAACAGTCATCTGGTGGCCAAAGAAAGCAGCCAGCTATTTCAGGCCGTTTCACAGAATAAATGCGTAACTGAGGATAATTCAACCAAAAAGTTTTCTAAATCATTTTTGAATTACAATACAATACACACAATACAATACAGTGCAATAGAGAACATGAGGCTTTATACTCAGAGTAACTTGGGTTCAAATCACAGTTTTGCAACTTAGTAGTTGGACACATCATGTAAGTTCTTACTCTCTTTGAGTCTCAGTTTCCTAATCTGTAAATCAGGGACTATAAACTCTATAGCATAGGGTCACTGTGAAGATTAAGTGAGATAAGGTATAATAGGATAATGACTATGCATAATAGGAGCTCAAATAATATTAGCTCCCTTCTTTTTCTCTATCCAGTTAATAAACTTCAATTATTTTTTTTAAATCCATGTGATAACTTTGAGACTCCATCAAAATAATCAGATTTTACAATATATAAAAACAATATGTCAGTATTTATTTTTTAAAACATGCATTGGCTCTGGCAGACTCAGTGAACAACAGTCTGTTTGAAAACATGACTGACTCTTTCCAAGGTCAAACATCCTCAACTCCTTTTACTCTGCCCAGAACTCTTTGCTCCAACCAGAATAACTTTCCCATGCATGTGACTGGCTCATTCCTACTTTTAGTCTTTTGTGTTAGTGCCCTTCGTGAAATGACCTTTAGATGCCTCCCTGCCAAACTCCATACTCCTTTAAAGTTGTTCAACAGTCATGTCATCCAAAAATTGGCAGAAAGAAATCTAGTTAAGTGATTCACTCCGGTCCATCCAGGACTATAGGTTCTTCCAGGGAGCTGTACTGGTCCCCAGTTTGACACATTTTTTTGCTGATTTCCTCTACCTTTTCCATAGTTTTAGATTCTTTCTCCCATTGAGGACATTCAGAATTAGAGAGGCTATCAGTTGCTAAAGGCCACACATTTTATGGCTGATTTTAAACAGGCAGCCTGTTCTTTGGGTTTTTAGTTTGGTGTTTTCATTTCGTGATTCTACTCCATTTAGTGGGGAAATGGTATTGCTGGCTGACTAAGAAACAGTGTGGAACTTCAGGAATGGAGAGGCAGCTCTAGAAGAAGTAACAGCAATAGATGAGGGGCATGGGATATGACGAGAGATGGGAGCAAGCTGGAGGAGGCTAAGGGAGGGAGAAAAGATGCCTCAGAGGAATAATCAGCTTATTCTAGCCATTTCACATTACAAGAAAAAAAAACCTAAACAACAACAACTAGAAATTTTTGCTTTGCTTCTATTTTGTGCCTAATAAACAACACCACTGTCACTGCCAATGAAAACAGCAACATAACTGTGGTTTTTTCCCAGCACTAATTCTAAACCATCTACTGGATTTGGGTCAAAATTATAAACTGCCAACATGTTAAAAATAAAAACAGAAAAACAAACCTGGCATTTTTCTGAAGGGTTGTGATGGTGAATGCAGGACAAGAGCCAGAGAGAAGAGCTGCTATAAAAATAACTGGTGTAACACACCAGGGCCTACTGGGGGGTTGGGGGTGAGGGGAGGGAACTTAGAGGACGAGTCAATAGGTGCAGCATACCACCATGGCACATGCATACCTATGTAACAAACCTGCACGTTCTGTATATGTATCCCGTTTTGTTTTTGTTTTTGTTTTAGAAGAAAAAAAAAAAACTGGTGCAAACATCCTTGAACTGCTGTTTTCTATAAAAATCTGATGGCTGTGAAGGAAAGAGTAAAGTTGGGAAGGGGAAAGGAATGAGGATCAAGTGGTGTCTGCTTATCGTCAGCTAGCTTTCATGTAAAAGTCATGGCAGGGTCAGCAACAAACTAGCCAGGTGGCAACTCCAGGCCACGCTGCCATAAATAAATAGTTATGTACTAATGTCACACAATCAGAGCTAGATGCAAAGCATATGGGAAGAAAACATTCTGATGTCAATATTCAGGAAAAACTATGGTTGTTAAATTCAGGATCCACTGTTGGTATTGGATTTTGAGATGCCTCAGAAAATTAAAAGTAGTGAAGTTTTTAAAAACCAAGGCTAAAAGATTCTTTGAAATGTACAATATTCCCTTTAAAAAAAAATCCTTAACCTTTGGCTTAAGACAGTGTGACTATTTGATGTAGTAATTAAGCATTACTGAAAGTTGGCAAGAGCACTGACTCTGGAACCAAATTTCAGGAGTTTAAATCTTACTACTGCTACTTATCCTCATGACCTCTAGAAGTTCCTTAACCTTTTCATGTCTTAGTTTTTTCACTCTGTACAAAAGGGAAGAGGAGGATAACAGCAATAGTACCTGCCTGGCAGGAAGTTATGAGGATTAAGCGAGTCTGTGCATGGGGAGCCTGTAAAACAATACCTAGTAAACGCCCTGTCCATTTTTATCAAGTAGTCTTACTTAGCCTATTTATTTATGGCCAAAACCGCAGTTGCTCTTGCACCAACCTAATATTTCACATAGACTATCCTCTAGACACCACGCTATATAATCTTTTATTTGTACCAGCCTGTTAATCTTAAAAACAGCCCATGCCCGGGCGAAGTGGCTAATGCCTGTAATCCCAGTACTTTGGGAGGTAGAGGCTGGAGCATCACTTCCGGTCAGGAGTTTGAGACTAGCCTGGTCAATAAAGCGAGACTTCATCTCTAGAGAAAAATTTTAAAATTAGCCAGGTGTAGTGGCATGTGCCTGTAGTCCCAACTACTCGGGAGGCTGAGGTGGGAAGATCGCTGGAGCCCAGGAGTTCGAGGGTGCAGTGAGCCACGATGGAGCCACTGCACTCCAGCCTGGGCGACAGAGTAAGACTCCATCTCTACATCAAACATACACAAATAAAACACCTCCATGAATTAAATCAGTTTTACAGACAAAAGAAATGAGGCTTCGATGGATTAAGGAATTTATTCAAGGAGGTATATCTAAAACTTCCAACCCAGGCATTATTCCAGATGAAAAATTTTAAACCACTTACAGGTTCTCTAAAGTCTAAGCACCTTTGCTTTAGTTTGCTTAAATTGTTGAAATCAGAAGAGAAACACAACACATGACCTTCTAAGAACCAAACAGATTTTAGAAAAGAGATTAAATGAGGGACTGATATCCCAACAAATTGCTTTAGGAGAACTGAGATCCATTCACAATACATATAGAAAATAAAAAAAGATTGGCTCATTACTCCAAACATTTATTGAGCGCCTACTATTTTCTGAGAACTGGGGTTACAATAAGATGCGATTTTAGACCTTGAGCAGCTAACTGCAAGGAGTGAAAGTGACTTTTTTTTTTTTTTTTGAGACGGAGTCTCGCTGTCGCCCAGGCTGGAGTGCAGTGGCGCGATCTTGGCTCACTGCAAGCTCTGCCTCTCGGGTTCACGCCATTCTCCTGCCTCAGCCTCCTGAGTAGCTGGGACTACAGGCGCCCGCCACCACGCCCGGCTAATTTTTTGTATTTTTAGTAGAGACGGGGTTTCACCGTGTTAGCCAGGATGGTCTCGATCTCCTGACCTCGTGATCCGCCCGCCTCGGCCTCCGAAAGTGCTGGGATTACAGGCGTCAGCCACCGCGCCCGGCCAAAAGTGACATTCTTTACTGCCGGCTGTTTGATGACGTCGGATTTGTTTCAAGTCTGTTTCTCAACAAGGACAAAACTGCCTTCCACGCGATGTACAGAAGTTGTAGGGCTTCCTCAACACAAGCCAAATTATGTTTACAGCGACCCTAGTGAGTTTTCCTGCTCGGACCATGACAGACTTGGTAGAGTGAAGACATGGTTTCTCGGCAGGCCAGTCCACGCTCCGAGGAGCGCTCAAACTGGCGCGTTAGGAAGTGTATTCAAATCGCGCGCTCTGGCAGGGGCTTTCGGGGGCTCACGCTGAAGGATCGCGGGGCACTCGTGAGACCTGCCGCCTGGTCTGTGCGTCAGGCCGCCCTGGCTTCTAGTAATTGGGAGAGTACAAAGCATCCCTTGTTGACCCTTTGATCCTAGGTGGGCGATGCCCTGGATTCCTACCTGCCTACTGAAACTCTGGCGCGGCGCCTTTCCAAGGGCGGCCGCTACTTCCTGGTTGGTTTGCCCTTAACTGACATGGCGGCTAGTTGCCTTCGGCGCACCACTGCGGCTGCTCAGTAAGCCAAGCTAGGGCACTCTGGTGTACAGCCAGTCCCCGCCGCGGAGGTGCCGGTGGAGCCTGGGACCGGGCGAGTCTCCGCCCCGCTTTTGCAGCTAGGGGTGTGTTTCAGGGGGGATTGGGGCAAGCCAAGCAGGCGAGGACCCGGGCCTGTGCCGCTTTGCCTACCCCTCATCCCTCGGCACCAAGGCTACTTGAGCCCCAGGGTGTTTTTTCCTTGTTCCCGCCACCTCCTGGTCCCTGGCCCAACATGATACTGACCAAAGCTCAGTACGACGAGATAGCCCAGTGCCTAGTGTCTGTGCCGCCTACCAGGCAGAGCCTGAGGAAGCTGAAGCAGAGGTTTCCCAGGTAAGTGTCCATCTCTCCCCTCTCACAGCCCTTTGCCTGCAGCAGCAGTGCCTGGGCCGCCCAGGCAGCGCTTAGGAACCACGTGTCACACATGAGTGGGGAGGAACACCAGTGTCAGGCGTTAGGAGGTCGAGGTTGGCGAAAAAAGGTTTATTCTTTCACTCGCCTTCCACACAAAACTCTTAACGGTGAGTTCATGGCAGCCTTCCAAGGCCTTGCAATTAAATTCAAGTCAACAGATATTTATGGAAAACGTGGTACGTGCTAGGTGATGGGTGAACATAGTAGGTGCTTCATAAATGACCAGAGGTTAATTGACAGATAGTAGGAATGAATGATGGGTGGGAATATGAATTGTAGATTCGAAAGGAGCAAATGGAGGACCCTTTTCAATTGGCCGTTGGAAACAAACAAGGGAGCATAGAGGTAAAGCGGCTTCATACTGTTTGACTGTGGCTTGTACTGTTAACTGTGGAATTAAGTGACCTCAAGGGTTCTCAATCCAATCAGAGAGCAGGGTACCCAGGGATTCCACTCTTGGGTCATTGGCCATTTGAACAACCAGATCTAAAGTTTCTCCATATATGTTATGCATACACACATTCCGGGTGTATTTCATACTTCCTCCCCCAAACACTTCTTTTTTCAGCGATTTTAGAATTATCCAACTTTCTAAGAAAGGACTTTGGGAATTATGTAGATTTCTCATTTTAATGAAGTGGAAACTGAGACCCCAACATTACATGAGGAACCAGTTGAGGACAACCAGGTCACTGTATTTATGTTGTGTTAAAAGCAGAGAATGTTTGTTTACTTTTTTCCTAATGAAAAACCAAATCCAAACCTGTACCATTTTGTTTTGTGGCACTGAGCATGGTTATTCCTAATGGAGAGCTTCCCCATCCTTGACGTATTCAGTCCCTGAACAAACACGACAGAAGTAATTTCTTGAGAAAAGAAAGGTAATTGGATAATAGGTATCAAAGTACAAATTGAAGCATAAGTTTAAGTTCTGTTATGACTTTGCTTTTTGAAGGACTTGGTTTTCCTAGTCTGTAAAATGAAGGAGTCTCTTTTCAATATTATCCAGATTTGATTTAGGGCAATATTTATCCCTTTATAGCCTTTAGTATTTTATCAGACTTGCTAAGAAGGAACAAAATTGACACATAATTTAATTTTCTGTCATTAACTCTTGCCAGTTCTGCACATGAACAGTGAAATGGGTGAAGACTGGTCAGCCAAGGGAATAGGTAGATTTTTCTGGGCAGTTTTAAGAAAGAGCATACATTTTGATATTCTCCTCTCACTATGTATGCAATCACTTGTAATTTTGCTTTTTTTTCTCTTCCTCTCCCTCTTTTTCTCTTTTTCGTTCTTTTCTCTAGCAAATACCTTGTCTTCTCTATAATAAGTAAGTGTCTGTTACTTTAATCAACACTTACAAAAGCCTCCCTTCTGTCTGGTGTATTCTCTTATGCTCTTTTCTTTCTTATTCATGATATACTCAAATCTTTTTCACTTCTCCCAAATGCCATACAGGGAATAAATAACAACTCTCCTTCCACAGGAAACTTTATTTAGAGAGAGCTGAACTACTAATCCGCAAAAGAAGGGATTAAAGAGCTATTTAGGGCTGGGTGTGGTGGCTCACGCCTGTAATCCCAGCGCTTTGGGAGGCCGAGATGGGAGGATCACTTGAGGCCAGGAGTTCCAGATCAGACTGGGCAACGTAGCAAAACCCCGTCTCTAATAAAAATCCAAAAAATTAGCTGGGTGTGGTGGCATGTGCCTTTAGACCCAGCTACTCAGCTACTCCTGAGGCTGAGGTGGGTGAATCACCACATCAAGGTGATTGTTACCTTGTTGCATTACAATCCATTGGCCTATTTTGAACTTGAATGGATCTTTTACCCATGCCTGATTTGTTATCATCGTGCATTATTCCTTTGTAAAATGTTGCTTGTGAGTTGTGCAGATCTTACAAATGTCACCTTTCATTATACAATATCAAAAAATTACATTTGTTAATATCATCTCTAATCTCATCAGAAGTCTGTAAGATTTGAAGCTGTCAAGCTTGTGGTGATGGATATGAGCATTCCAGTATTTGAATTTTCCCTTGAAAGCTCAAATTTTATCATTGGCAACAAATGCTATTAGTTGTTTTCCTTGAAATGACAGGCTCACATTGTTTATTTTTGAGAAAGTGTCTGCCAGATACTTAAATCTGAATAATATACTTTGTTATCATTAATTCAAGTAAAAATGGTGTTCCCTAGAAAAAGTAGCTAGTTCAGCTCTCAAACAGTCATACAAGTGCTTTCCTGGGAGGCAACCATCATACTTTGATATGAAGTATATGTGCTTTGTATTTACTCTAGTCATACAGAATGTTAAAAGGTTGTGTATTCAAGGGTTGAGATTTAATGCAATTAATAAGAGAATATTCTTTAGTGAAAGTCTTGTTTTGTTTTGTTTTTCCTGCACGTGTGTGGCAGTGAATACAGTGACTACTAGTACAGTTATGATGCCTATGATTTGTGCCTTGTTTTATGCTCAGGAGCTGGCAGTTTTACTCACCATTGTTTTTGTACCATAAGTCCAAATGTGAATACAGCGCAAAAGGAAAATACTATCTTGCTATTTTTATAAAAATAGTCGTGTTGACCCTGTAGACCTGTGAGAGGGTCTCAGGGACTCCAAGTCCACAGCCACACTTAGACAATCACTAGCTAATTCAAATCAAAGCATAATTATGTTTTCAAGGATTTTGATGTATACTGACAAATTTAAAAAAATTGTACTAGTCCTTTTACTAGCAGAGCGTGAGAGTCTCTGTCTCTGCAACTTTTCCAGTATTGAGAAGAGTCATTATTTAATCTTTAATATGTTCGATCAAGAATGACATCTTGTAGTTAGCATTTTAAAAATTATTATAGGTTGTACCTTTTTCCAAATTTTTTTGACCACTTAATTTTCCTTTGAATTACCTGTTTGGTATCCTTTGCCTAATTTTCTGTTGGCATGTCTGTTGTTATTGTTTATTGATTTATTACTTATTGATCTGCATATGTTCAGGATGCTGGTCCTATATATGTCATATTTGTTGCATAAATTTTCTCAGTTGTTTGATTTTAAATATTGTTCTGCTTTTGATATGGTTAACTTTTAAATGTATGCTTTTTTTTTCTGACATTTTTGCCTTTATACTTAGGAAGTTCTTTTCTGTCCTAATATATGAAAGAAAAAAATATTTCACCTAAATTTTCTTTTAGATTCTTTATGGCTTTGTTTTTTATTCTTAATTTTTAAATCTTTCTGGCTGAAATTTATTTTAGTAAATGCTGAGAGGTGAAGATGTAGCTTAATTTTTTCTCCAGCTTAATTTTTCCTCTTACTGTGACTTCTGGGGTAGCCTCACTTCTTCATGGCTTGTTTTGACTGAAGTTACAAAATTATGTTTTTTCAAGTCACTGTGTTTTACGTGGTCTCAGAATCCTTCACTTTAAAATGAAGGAGTAGGACTTTGTGATCTGTAATATCTTACAACTCCAAAATTCACCCTCATTCTATTTTCGTTTCTACAGTTTTACCATACAGTAAGTCATCATTTAATGTCTTCGGTAGGGCTTTGGAGACTGCAACTTTAAGTGAAACAATGTATAATGAGAGCAATTTTACCATATGCTAATTGTTATAAACAAGAATTAAGTTCCTATAGCATATTTCTGGTCATAATAACATCACCAAACTTCTAAATAAAGACCCAAGGCTGGGCACTGTGGCTCAAGCCTGTAATCCCGGCACTTTGGGAGGCTGAGGCGGGCAGATCACGAGGTCAGGAGATCGAGACCATCCTGGCTAACACAGTGAAACCCCGTCTCTACTAAAAATACAGAAAATTAGCTGGGCACGGTGGCGGGCGCCTGTAGTCCCAGCTACTCAGGAGACTGAGGCAGGAGAATGGCATGAACCTGGGAGGCAGAGCTTGCAGTGAGCTGAGATGGCGCCACTGCACTCCAGCCTGGGTGACAGAGCAACACTCCGTCTCAAAAAAACCATAAAAAATAAAATAAAGACCCAAAACACATCTAATATTAAACATTGAAATTAATGTGAGCCTAAACAAGTAAGATAATTATTTACCCAATTTTTGGTGAATCAGTGAGTGATGGTGGTCATAGTGGTGGTGGATTAAATCTAAGAGTATGTGTTTGCAAAGTGAAATTTGTGAGAAGCACCTCTTACCACCATGTATTCAAAAGCAAACAATAGCCTGTTCAACAGAGCGAGACCCTGTCTCTTCAAAAAAATTTAAAAATTAGCCAGGTGTGGTGGTACATGCTTGTAGTTCCAGCAACTCAGGATGCTAAGGTGAGAAGATTGCTTAAGCCTGGGAGTTTGAGGCTGCAGTGAGTTAGGAACGTGCCACTGCAGTCCAGCCTGAGCCACAACAGTTAGACTCTGTCTCTAAAAACAAAAAACAAAAAGCAAACAATAACAAATGTGGTGAGCTTGCTGAGCACTTGTGTACTGCATCTTTATTGTCATGCGTTTGTATGATTATCATAGATTTATGAATTTTTATTTTACAGTAATTTGTATTCATTCATTTATTCACTTATTCATTCATTTATTTACCAACCCGCTTATTCCAGTTTAGGATTCTGAGTGGCCTCTGGCAGCTCAGGCTGCAAGGTATGAAGCCATCCCAGCACGGGACACGCTCACACACACTCCCATACTCACTCACACTGGGGCTATTTAGACATGCCAGTTCTGCAGACACGTACATCATTGAGATGTGGAAGGAAACCAGAGTACTGGGAGAAAGTTCACGCAGACGTCAGGAGAACATGCAAACTCCACACAGACAGTGGCCCCAGCCAGGAAACAATTTTTAAAAATACTCATCAACTTTATAACAAAATAATGTTGAACAAAATAACGTTATTTGAAGACTTTCTGTAATGGGCCCTTTGGCACCTGAAACATAGGACATACTACATTTGAAGTACTTGCTGAGGACATATTTATTGATTGACATTTTTTAATCTTTCTTGTGGACATTCTTAGAAGCCCCTGGTCCAATCAGCTGTTACTTATAAGGTTATATTTTACATTATAATTTCCTGCCCAAACACTACATATATATTTGATTATTTGTTACTTTTGGGAGAGTTTTTGGGATAATTTTAAGCTTGCAGAAAAGTTGCAGAAATATTACAGAGAATTCTCATATACCCTTCACCCAGCTTCTCTTAATGTTAACATTACCATGGTACGATTGTCAAAATCAGTAAGTTAATTTTAATGCAATATCATTAATCTACAGACACATTTTTTGAACTTTGCTAGTTTTTTCACTGATGTCCCTTTTCTAGGATCACACGTTGGATTTAATTGTAATGTCTTAAGTCATTTCCAATCTGTGACAGTTTCTTACTATTTCTTTGTCTTTTATGATTTTGACACTTTTGAAGAGTACTGGTCAATTTTATAGAATGTCCTTTCCTTTGTGTTTGATGTTTATTTTCTCATGGTTAGATTGAGGGTAAACACTTTTGGCAAGAGTACCCTGGAAGTGATGGTGTGGCCTACTTAGTGCATTACATCAGGGTCTGTGACTTCATATGTCTTATTATTGGAGACGTTAACCTTATTCACTTGATTAAGGTGGTGTCTGCCTTGGTTTGTGCTCAGGAGCTGGTAGTTCTAATGTTACTTTTATTATTATTATTATTTTTAAATTCTGAAGCTCTTTAATAGCTTTATAATCAACAAATAAAACTAAAGGTGTTTTATAATAGGAAAATAATTTTGTGATATATGACAATGGCATTGCTTCATAAGGACAAGAAGAAAAATTGGAAGTGTACAGTAGAACTAGTATGTTTTACTATAGAGTCTTACATATGTATTACTTGAGAGTGGAAATATAACCATAACTTGCTAACCTGTACTGTGACTCACAAAACAGGCTCTACCTGACCAAACTACAATTACTGACTAAACCTGAACTCTTTTATCATGAGCTCATTCAGCCTTATGTGCTCAACCCATACTCATAAACTCTGTTCCAGAAACTGCCTAGTTGACAAAGTCTGACCAACATCTAGCAGGACCACCTCATGACTAGTTCCGGCTCCTAGAACCTTCGAGTACCTCTTCCCTAATTCTTCATTTTGAGACACTCCACAGTTTGCTTGGTGTGGGTTTACCTTTGAGTTTTTTTTTTTTTTTTAACTATTACAACTGCACTATAAAGTTACTATTGTTCCTTTTAATAAATACCTTGTGGGGATATACTTTGAGACTATGCAAATTTCTTGTTTCTCGTCACCCTTTTTCCCATTGATTTTAGCATCCATTGACTTTTTCATGAAGCAGTTATTACTGGTATTTGCTTAATAGTGATTCTCTATTTCTCTCACCAGAATATTCATTTAACCAGTGTCATCCACTGCCACCATTTTATGTGAAACGAACTACCCTACAATTAGCCCACGATTTTCATTGGTATTTGTAGAGTTTTTCACCACTTAATTAGCATGTGGTCTATAATAGTGTGCTCACTATGTTTGTGGCACTATTTGGGTATTAAAACAACAACAACAAACAGCAACAACAATAACAACAAAATAGCTGGGCACCTGTAGTCCTAGTTATTCAGGAGGCTGAGATGTGAGGATCACTTCAGCTCAGGGTTTTGAAGTTACAGTGCATTATAATTGTGCCTGTGAATAGCCACTGTACTCCAGCATGGGCAACATAGCTGTACTCCAGCATGGGCAACATATTTCTAAAAACAAAATAAAACAAAACAAAATAGGATAATGTAGTAACTAATTTTGGATAGCTTGTAGTCTGAGGAAACTAGTGTAAGACACATCCAATAGCTATGAAGTATTAGAATCATAGAATGTTAGAAGCCAAAGGATTCGTTGAATAGTTAGTTCAGATATGGTTAAGTAGCATTCTTAGGATTCAAATAAGTAGAATATACCTTGTTGGGAATTATTTTGCTAGTAGACCAAGCCCTCTGGCACAAGTTTAATTTTTCCTTGAGTTCCCTTACCATATATTGGTTATTTAGTCGCTGTACTAATGACTCAAACTCGTGATACCATAAATCGCTAAGCAAATAGATATCTGTATCATTTTGATATATCTTTGCCCTTAGAGATCCTGGCTTAGGTTTTTCTAATGGTGTTTTCCACATTTTGAAGCATGTTTTTTTTCTTTTTTTCTATCTTGGCCCATATCTCCTACTGTCTTCCTACTCTTGGATTATGACATAGGCAACCATTCACTCATATGAGGTGCTTTAAATTGCTGTTCCTAGTAAGATCTCAAAAGTAATAGGTAAAAACTTGTTTGAGTGGTCATCCTGTGCTTAAACCAATGTACTTAGTCATCTTCTTGAAATCTCACCTCTCTTTACCAGAAAATGAGTTGAAGCTGGCCATATTGTGTATTGTGCTGTGTACAGTGTTGAACTTAGTGGTTCTTGGTGGTGAACTTAGGAGTCCAATCTGGTAAGGAGTGGAGTAGCTAAAAAACTTGCTTGGGACAAGCACAGCAGTTTTACTTGGCTCTTATGCTTATTTGAGGTGGCTTGGTTTACTTGGTGCTGCCATTGGTTATGGTTGTCTTTTTTGAACAATCCCTCCCACCCCCAATAAATGATGCATTTAAGATGCCTGCTCTTTCCAGAGGGAGTCTCGTATTCCATTCTTCTTGCCTCCTATCACAGTTTCTTCCTGAGAAATGATAGAAATAAAAAGCTCTATCTCTTTTTATCTGAGTCACAGTTGTCTCATCTGTAAAAGGAGAGGTGAAGTCCGACGGCTAGGAAGTAGAGGAAGCAGGATATCAAACCCAAGTAAAGTCAGGCTCCAGAATCTCTTTCTCGCTCTGTTGTCTCTTCTTGATCAGTTCCTTAAGGCTGTGGTGACGGTGAAGTGAGATAAGGCATGTAAAACAGCGCAGTGTAGAGCTCTCCGTAAGTTTTTAATGAAAAGTAAATATGATTTTTGTTAGAAGGTAGTAGCTGATCTACAGTAGAAGAAATGTCTGAGCAGTAACCTTTTGAAACATAAAACACAATTTTGCTTTGAAACAAAGTGCAGTAGATTTACAGAAAATGAAAATGTTTATATGGAACAGTTGGTTGTATGGCTGAACATGTAAGATTTGATTATCAGTTGAATATTGTATCGTTAACAGAAACTTCTTTAAGTATTTCACAGTGATATATAATGGCATTTAAAAAAACCTTTTAAACCTAAATTCACTGATTTTTAAGAATTGAGGGAGCATTGCAATGCATAATTAATACCGTAGGGCTTGGTATACTTAATTGAAATACTATTCCTATTGGCCTTGTTTTTCTCAATTGAAATGAAAGTTGATTCTCAGTTTGTGGTCAATTTTCTACACTTCTGATAATTTTGTGGTGGACCTGAGTTCCAGAATAATAAGTGAGAATAGCTTAGAAAGAGAGAGAAAGGCTTTTATTGAACTGGAAATTCTACTGATGGTTTTGCCATAGAAATAGAATTAATTTACATGATCTTTAAAATTAATATTCATACACCCAGGAAGGATATCTAGGGTTATTTCTGTATTAATCATTGGACTAGGTAGGAATGTCTAAGAAAAGAGTATGATTATTTCATGTGTTTTCTTTAGTGATCTTTTACATTTTTTTCTGTATTATTATTATTATTTTTTTACTTTGTTGCTACATTGTAGCTTAGCTTTAAAGACTCTTCTGAAAGGTTATTATGTTAGTGTATGGCCCCTTCACTTTCTAAAAGAAGTGTTTAGCTTTTATTAGATATTTGTGCATCTTTGCATTGTGTAGCTGCGAAAGGGATATGAGCTTGAATTCTTCGCAGAGGAGTATTTGAAGAAAGCCTCAGATAATGTTATTCTAAGAAGAATCCACATGCTATAATTATATTTCTTATTAATTTGGGGGGAATTTTCATGTAATTAGAATATTGGCTTTATTTAAAAAATCTATATTCAGGCATCAAACTTTAGTTTACTAAGTAATAACCCTTACCAGAATGATTGCTTGTGCAATAAGGAGAAATTATATATTTCTCTAGGGGAAAAAAAGGTTCAATAGAAGTATAGTTTAATAATATTTTATTATTTAACTTTTGACAAAGTCGACTGAATTTGCCATTGTTTTTATTACACATTTTGTACAGTTTTGCCGTATTGGTTGAATTTTCCTTAGAAACAAAACAATCAATATATGCTTTACTAGATTAAATCTGAAAAGTGACCTTAATATATGAAGTCATGCTCTGGTATAAAGATCATATAGAAGATAGGTAAAGAGTAAATGCTTCTTTATTTTTAATTGTCTTTTTATTGAAGGGAGATGTTTTCAAATGTATACTTGAAGATGTTTCTCCTTTCTCCATTCTGCTGTCAAGTTGCTTAAACAGTGAGCTGTATATACAGTGAATACATTTAAGCTGCTAGGGTGAAACTCCTAACTGAATGACAGTTCTCCATTTCTTTTTTCTTTTTTTTTTTTGAGACGGAGTCTTGCTCTGCTTCCCAGGCTGGAGTGCAGTGGCGCCATCTCGGCTCACTGCAAGCTCCGCCTCCTGGGTTCACGCCATTCTCCTGCCTCAGCCTCCCGAGTAGCTGGGACTACAGGCGCCCGCCACCACGCCCGGCTAATTTTTGTATTTTTAGTAGAGACGGGGTTTCACCGTGTTAGCCAGGATGGTCTCGATCTCCTGACCTCGTGATCTGCCCGCCTCGGCCTCCCAAAGTGCTGGGATTACAGGCGTGAGCCACCGCTCCCGGCCAACAGTTCTCCATTTCTTAGGGGAACAGAACACAGCTAGATCCTGGATTGTTTGGTCGGTCCATGGGTTTGAAGCTAGAGTAGAACAATCTGTGACCCACGTATGAAAGATGGTACATGCTGATCACAAATCCAACCCTGTTCTAGCCACTTTGGGGAACTAATACCTGCTTCACCTTTTCTTTCCTCTCTTCCCGTCCCTACCCTTTCATGAAACATATAGTGAAGAGTCAGTAGTCCTTCTTCGTAAGCCAGAGCTTCCTTCATGCCAAGGAACAGTGACATGGCTTGTCACTTTCAAGTTACGTCTCTTGGCTGAAGGGTGATCTTTTCTATTCATTCTGGCTTCGTGACAGCAAGTAAAAGTTTGTTTGCTTTTTTTAACCTACTGTGGTGTTCAAACTGTGACCTCATAAATAGCTGGGATCTCATTGAGATAACAAGGGCTCTGCAATTTTTCATCCAAAGTAAAATGTTAAATTTTCTCAGGACCTATTTCTTTTATGTGTTTGAAATACTATGATTCAGTTGCTAAAAAATGTTTAAAGCTATTATACTTAAAGCAATAACTTCAAGACTATGAAAATAAATATTTTGAAACAAAGCAATTCGAGTAGAGGAAAAAAGTAAGGTAGATTCATATCTCTTAATATAGCTGTTCAATGAAATATGTAAGTACTTGGTCTTTCCCTGACCAAACACCGGCCCCTGCTAATTGAGGCAATTCTGTGCGAAGCCCAGTCTTTTTCTGAGGTTGTCCTGGGAGTAGTCGTCATATCCAAGACTAAGATTTAAAATACCTGGTATATCATCATTGCTCCCCACCCCCAACATATACTTATTTTTAATTATTTTCAGTCACTGTTAGTTAAGGCCTGTCATTTGTTCCAGGAACAAAAAAGGATGAGATATAAACTCTGAACTTGTGTTTATTCTGTTACATGAAATAGGAGGCATAGCAGACCATTGATATTTACAAGGTTTATCACTTAAGACTATTGAAAATCCCCAAGTTTGCAGTTAGCACTATATAGGATGGGAAAGGTCTACTAAGCTTTGGGATGCCGGTGTTGGCTAAGCTCACTTACCAGCAAACTGACTTGTGCATCCTCAGATCAGCCTAGTATGAATGATCCAGATTTATACTCAGCACATTTATGAATCAGTGTTTGTCATATATATTTATGATTATTCTCAGATAGAACTTTGTTTAATCTAGGAATGTTTTAGGATGAATAGAGATGCAGGGTGAAAATTTTGTGGTTGGACATTCATGCCTGTGGCACACCTTATCTTCCTGTGATTCTGTAGCTGATGACGTGGTTCTATAGGGCTCTTGTAAGTGGCTTCTCTTGTGGTTGAGATCTGGGAGGTGAAGAGTCATTTGAATGTGTCTTCTACATTACACATGAAGTTAGACTGGCACTTTTTAAAAAAAATTTGTTTCTGTCTACAGCTCTCTCAAGCTGATATCATCCTTTGCTTAAGGTATATTACACTGCTATTTGTTTTTGCTGATAATATTGGTAGGGAAAGCTAATAAAATTTGAAATTAACTTACACTTCGAGCCCCATTTAGCTAAGATGGTAAATGGACTGGGAATATGAGGCAGACTGTTCCTTGTATAACGTTAAAAAGCCCATAGACTCTTCCAGCCTGTATGTAACAGCCTGTATGTAACAAATAGCTGTTTCCTAATGGATGAAGTTAAAATTATCTAGATTCTCATTTTCTGAGGACAACTAAAATATATAAAGATAAAAATACATTTAACCTCAAGTTTATAACATGTTCAGTTTTTTATTTGCATGTTGGTGGGTGCACTTGGAACTCTCTACATGCAGATAGATCATAAAACATTGCTTGGGAGGGACCTGCATACCTCTCTTATTATTCAGATTCAGTGACTTATAAAGCAAGCCGGTGTTGGATCGAGATTGCAGTTAGAGATAATTTGGTCAAATCTGTTAATGTTGCAGATGCAGAGGGAGGAGTCCTACCCAGTGATTTGACCAAAGTTCCATATCTGGATGCAAAACTCTCCATTCATGCTTTTAAATTAGAGAACAGACTCCCATCCCTCTAGGGGCCAGGCAAGTATCAACAACAAGTGAATGAATGAAGCTGACCTGGTTGGTTTTGCAGCTAGGTGAAAGTACAGTTGTGTGTACCAACAAGGCAGTGGCCACTTTATGCCAGCCATCCAGTGCCATGCAGGAATGTGGGCCTGGTGCTGCCAGGCCTTCTACTCTTTAGAAAGCAGCTCTAGATCTGATTTTTTTTTTTAAGAAAAAATAAAATATCCTGAGTTTTAAATGTTGTCAATTTGTTTGAATTTTTAAAGCACTGTGTGGGCCAACATTTTCCTGGCCAAACAGAACAAGTCTGTGGGCTGAATTTGGCCTACAGCCAGTGGATGCTGGTGCTCTTTCCAGCTTGTGAGAGCTGATGGTGAGCATCTTTTCCAGACTCTACAAACCGCGACCTCACATTGGTAGCTTAAAATTCATCCACAGTAGGAGTATTTACACCACAGAAATTGGCAAATGGTACAACCTGGGCTTGCCCCTTCTCCAGCCCTACCACCCCTCACTACCAAAGGCAGTTGTTAAGCCTCACACACCACTGCATTCTATCGCCAGTCTGAGACTTTTGTACCTTATGGCTCCAAGGGATGTCTTTCATAGATGTTTTTACACCCCCTTTGTTCTGATTTTTGTAGCCTTTTTTCTGAAAGAGACTCACACTACTACCATGTGTAACTCGTTCATTCTTATAAGATTTTTGTCATTGTTGGGTTGTTGGGCTTTCTCCTTATGTTTCCCTTACTATAGTTAGCATGGGAGCTGGAATTATAGTCTTGGGCCTTAGGAGGAGTACCTAGTATATTGTAAGTATTATGGTACATTCATAATGGACATTTGATTGAACTTGCCTAAAGAATGCTGCTTGATTTTTTTTTTTAAAGCCATATATACATGTCTCATTTAGAAAAGTGAATCCTTTTTAAAATTGATTAATTAGCTAAGTTTAGGGACATTACAGTGATTCTTTCCTTTCTGTTGGAATTTAGAAATGCTCTAGTGGTACACCCGAGGGTTTATCATGTCAGAAATTATTTCTAGAAAAACTCAAGCTCAGATGTTACATTTTCATTTGGTAGTTATTCCAGTATAAAAACAGAGGGAAGATACCTAATTGGTAAGTTTCTTCAGTTTTTGGTGCCTTAGAGTCCTTATTTATAAAATGGAATTGTTATGAACTTGAAATAAGATAATACATATAAAATGATTAGCACGGTTCCTGATACTACACTGGTTGCTACTGCGGTTATATTATTGGAACCATTACTTAATCATGGTTGCTTGTTGCAGTGGTATTTATGGTTATGATAGTTAGACTCAGCATATTAGAACTGAAAATATTTTGCCTAAAACCACCCCTTTCCAAGTATTTTCTTGTCTACTTTTCTCAAATGCAACCACTCATATCTGGAAGCTGTTTTACTGTTTTGTCTCAACTTAGTAAGAAGGGGGTTATGCATTTATGAAAGATACTTGAGTGAGTACCAGGTTTAGAGTCAGGGTTTCTCTATCAGGTAGTAGCTTGACTCCAGTAAATATGTAAGTTCAGGTGTAAGTCTTCCAGGGCAAGGAGATTTTATAGGATACCCTAGATCATCACGTCAGTGTGAACATTGATTTAGTGTTCAATATAGGTATTAATCAAATTTGAAGAATGAAAGTTTTTATTTTGTTGTTATTATTATTGTTATTTTTTGAAATGGAGTCTCGCTCTCACTGAGGCTGGAGTGCAGTGGCGTGATCTCGGCTCACTGCAGACTCCACCTCCTGGGTTCACAGCATTCTCCTGCCTCAGCCTCCTGAGTAGCTGTGACTACAGGCGCCCGCCACCACGACCGGCTAATTTTTTTGTATTTTTGGTAGAGACAGGGTTTCACTGTGTTAGCCAGGATGGTCTCGATCTCCTGACCTTGTGATCTGCCTGCCTCGGCCTCCCAAAGTGCTGGGATTACAGGCTTGAGCCACCGCGCCTGGCTGAATGAGAGTTTTTAAAATGATCTGAAACCATTCATCATACTAACATACTGATTGTGAAAAGACCTTGTGGTAAACACAAAGAAGTTGCATAAACTCTTAAAAAGAATGGATTGATTATTCCTTAAGACTTTGGTTTTACTAATTACGATGTATTCTAGAATGGTGCCTTCAAAGTTTTCTTTTAATTTATCTTATTTTTGCAGTTCTGCTAATCACATAATTGTAATAGTAATGAATTGGGCAAGACAGTAATTTTTCTCCTTTAGTTTTCATTGTATCATAGAGCCTATCTTCCTCTAGGTTCTAGATCAAAGAGAGGGTTTCAGGTTTAGACCTACTTCAGTTAAACTGCTTAGGCCAGATTTGAATAAAAGTATTAAAACAGGTGAGATGTTTTTGCATTAAAAAAAATACCATTCAAAAATTTGAGTGACACTTTGAAAAAAAGTTGCCTATTCCCAAAGACTATGGAAGCAAAAGCATAATTATGCTATAGATTATATTTTAGGGACAATTATTTGCCATATAACTCTTCTGAAGCATGGAAACAAGACTTGGTTAGTTGTATTTCCTCTGTTAGAGGTGTGTAAGGAGTCTAGATTTGGTTCATAGTCATGAAAAATATTTTATTCATGTGATAGCTTTTTGGACGATTGTATTCTGCACTGTATTACAATGGCACAATAAATTGCTGAATATACTGTCTGCTGAATATGACTTTACCATGAAAAATTTGATGCATGGAGAAGGAAAGGTTGGAATATATCAACCTTTTCTGACAAGGGACTTTGAATTTTGACCTAATACAGATGACCTTTGTGCGCAATAAAAATGAGCTTAATCTTGAGGTTAAGGTTGAGGTGAATGGCAGGACAGTGTGGTGGAGCTTACACTGACTGGAGGTGTATTGGTGCCTATGTGGCTATTGGCTAAATGGGAGTCCGGCACTTAAAATTTTTTTTTTTTAGCATTTCAAGAAGCTTATTTATAGCAAGTTGTTTGGCTCTTTAATACCACCCCATTTCCTCAAAGCTCAGCTTTCTGTTTAGTTGTGGTAAGTTCATCTGTTTTTATGAAGTTTACTGTTTCTGAGTAAAAGGTATGACTGTGCTTTTATTTATTTTCTGTTCCATAGATAAGCTATAGAGAAAAAAATGTTCTTATGGCTTATGGAAAAGACAACTGACATATGTAACCTTGGAACTGAAAATAAATGTTCTTTTAAGAAGATTTTTTTCTTTGACAAGTTGAACTTTTGTCATCTAACTTTGGAACTGTCAGGAGAATTTTTAAGCAGTTTGTGCCTTTATCTAGATTATAATTAAGAGAATGTGTGGGAATTATTGTCTTGAAAGGCTTAGATGATTTACAGAATGGCTATTGCCTTGGAAGTTCCTTTGAAGTGCATTGGCTAATACACTTACATTATAATATAATATAATATAATATAATATAATATAATATAATATAATATAAAATAATATGATGATATAATGTATTTTTAAGGTTTTGCCCACTGTACCTAGAAGGAAAATTGTTTTAAAACATGAATTTCTCTATCAAATATTTTATTTTCAAATACCTCCACTGATTTGTCATAAAAGAAATTACACCTTAGTGAACATCAGGAAAAAACCTGCTCATGTTATAGTACCTGAACACCTATTGAATAGTCTGCCCTAATAATTGGTTGAAACAACAAATAGTTGAGGAGAGTGCCAGAGAGTCTAATGGAAAGAACTTCTACTCTTTTAATCGAGCCTGCAAAATATATTCCCTGGGACTGATCAGCTCTGAAGCACTGAGGTTTGATGATTGGAATGGCAGGAAACCATGCTTTCAGGACATAACGAATTGACGAGGCCATCCATCATTTGTTAGCATACGCTGAAAACGTGGGCTATGTGTGCAGAGGCCTGTGATTTAGTAAATACTTGGGAGATGAATAGAGCTTACACACAAGGGAAGATATTGCTGTCCTTCAGCAGCCTGAGACCCAGGCGCCTGCTGAGAAGGCCATCTGACGGCATATCATCAGTAACTGGCCTGTCACAGTCAGCGGTGCCCACCGACCATTGCCAGTATATTAAATGCATTTTTAATATCTGCTTCAGTAGATTTAATGAAGAAAATTTAGTTTCCATACTCCGAGCACTGCTTCCTCAAGTATTCTAAAGAATGAACTCCTTGCCTACACAAAAAAGAGGGAAGACCATGCTGGCAGCTAGGAGAGTTGATTGAAAAGGAAACTCAAACAAAATAATTGCTAACAAAAAATATATTTAGTAGAGTCAGTATCTTGTTGATGTGAAAAAAAAAAGCTCATTTTTTTTTTTTAAAGAAGTTTTGGATTAAATTTTTAGCCCCTAATTCCCTTTTCTCACAAGCCCTCTCCCTAGGAGGATTCGACCTGCTGGCAAAGGAATATAAACCTACTGCTCTGAAAGGAAATATTAGAGGGGGAATATTATGGTTTGGCATAATTTGCCAAATTTATGGATAGAAAGACTCCATTTTAAATTACTTTGTGTTTTGGTATACTACTGTTGATTCTTAGGATTTTTGCATGAAGATATAAAGTGGAGTTTTTCTTAGTTACTTCCAAATTTTTGAATATTGAACTTTACTTGTAAACTTATTAATTAAGGTAGTAATTTTTGCCTGGTATGCAGAACAGTTCAAAATGAATGTAAAAAAAATTAGTTGCCAACTTGATATAAAGTGCTCTTATGTATTTCTTATGCTGTAATGTTTCTTTAAAAATTATAATTTTTAAATGTTCTATTTTCAAATTCAGGCAAAGTGTGTAGATTCATTCTTTTAAATGAGTTTCAATGCTGACATTATTTACTACAAAACAGCAAGACAACCAATTAGATGTAGTTGCAAACATGCACTATAAACCCCTCTTTAAAAAAAACAAAAAACAAAAAACAACAACAACAAAAAAAACCCAGAATATGCTCTCATGTTCACAGAAGAAGAAGCTACAGAATGGGACCTATAAATCTGATTCCTGCATGTGTCAAAACAGTAATGTATTAAATGCATATTATTATAAAAATTTAAGACATGTCTTAAACACACTTACATTTTTATAACACGTGGCAATATTAAATAATACCTTTCCTTGTTAGCATCTGTTTGCCGTCATTGTTGGCAAGACCTATGATTTATTGCTTAAATTAATGACCAAGACCATTTTGGACCTGATATATGCCCCTAAGCTTATTACATCACTAAATAAAATAAAATGTATGTGCCTATGACAGAGTTATTTTTATAATTGTTTATCCCTTTAAGTGCCCTATTCGGTGATTCACTGAAAGGTTCATAATGGTTGGCTTGTAACCAGAAAATAATCTCAGAAAGGTAAAATACATTGCTTGTTTGGAAATAAAATGCCAGAGTGATGGTGATGATAGGGGTCCCAGCAAGAATTTGCAATGCTCAAACTCTTTCTTTTCTCAATGCTCTCAGTGACCTCTTACTGAATTTTTTGATACACAACCTCTCTACCACCATCCCAACTCTTAAAGCTATCTGTTAATGCTGGCACTCACTTTCATATAAACCCTGCATTATGGCTAAAGTGGTTTTTTGCTCAGACATAAAGCTGTAAGGGTTAAATTATTCTGTACTTAGGATTTTCCAGGTACCATTATCACCATGCATTAAACTGAGCAAGATTATTTTCCTATTTTTCGTTCTTTTCTTTTGGGAGATTGGAACTTTACTATTTTTTATATTGAACTGTATTTGACTTCATCGTCTTTATCTTTCCTTTCTGACGGTGCAGTATGATAGAACCTTCAGTATTTTTACAATAACCTGTTATTCATCTAAAGTCACTCTGCTGCCTGACTTGCAATACAATATTATATGGCTTTGTGGTTTCTTTGCTCCACATGAAGTATCTCATTGACTGTCAGTTCTCCTGTCATCTGATGGTAAGGTCAAGTTTTTGAGAAGCTGATGCCTTGCTTCTGGATTGTAGTATCTACACCTTGAAACATATGGAGCTTCTTTGGGAACCTGAGAGTGTTTTTTGTGAGAAGATTATTATTTTGTAGATATTTGGGAACAATTCTCATTTATTTTATCACTCATAAATGGACGTAAAACTTATTATGATTATTCTTTTGAGACCGGGTCTCACTCTGTTGCCCAGGCTGGAATGCAGTGGTGCAATGTCAGCTCACTGCAGCCTCGACCTCCTGGGCTCAGGTGATCCTTACACCTCACGCTCCCAAGTAGTTGGGACTACAGGCGTGTGCCACCACAACTGGCTAATTTTTTGTATTTTTAGTAGAGACGGGGTTTTGCTATGTTGCCCAGTCTGCTCTTGAACTCCTGTACTCAAACCATCCACCCACCTCCGCCTCCCAAAGTGCCTGGATTACAGGTGTGAGCCACCACACCTGACCTGACTTAGTTATTATTAGTTATTAGTTATTGTCTTCATTTCACTTTTACTACATTTTAAACAAAATAGTCCATTGGAAACAAAAGGTTTTTTGCTTAGTATTCTTTCCTAAGGCAGTTGATACAATAAAGTTTTTAATCGTTCTCCCAGACATGATCAGGCCAACATGCATTCATGTTTTTTTTTGAAAAGCCCTATTGACCTTGCCTTTTGAGGCTCTCAGCTCCTCTCCCATTGCTGATCTTTTTACCATCCTTTTCATTTCATTTTCCTTGTCCTGGAGACCTGCCCCCAGATAAAACATTTTAGGAGAAAAGTGATGAAAAAGAATCTGAAGTGTGAAGAATCTCAAGTGCCACGTCTAATCTATTTCCCTCCCTTCCTCCCTTTCTATTTTCCTCTCTCCTTCCTTCTGTCCGTCCCTCCCTTTTCCACCCTCTCCTTTTCTGCCCTTCCTTTCCTCATCTGTCCATCCCCCATCTTTTTTTTTGGTCTCTTGAATATTAGCTTTAGTGAGTTTTTTTGTTTGTTTGTTTGTTTTTTTGTTTGTTTTGCTTTGGCCATGGTAGTTACTTTTACCTGTTCATTTGGAATGTATACATTTCTTTCTTTTGCTTTCTATTTGAATTAATTGTGAGATCCTTTGGATGGGAGCTGTGTGCTTTGCTGTAATTTGATCTTCCAGCTGTACGCTGTATTGCCTAGCATTGTAGTGTTCTTTTATGCATTCAGTGAATTCTTGCTAACTTTCTGATGTGGGCCTGTGCTTATTTTTATGATCTCTTTTGAGGAGACAGCGACTTTGAAGCATACTTGCTTTTTTTTTTTTTTTGGGAGGGGAGCAGTACTGTTCTAACTAGTACCCTGCAAAGGACTTACTATTCTTTCCTGAAATTGTTACTTAAGCTCCCACTCTCTGGGCCAAGATATTTAAGTCCTATTTAAAAATATTAAAATATTCAGTAGGCAGCTAAGTGCTTAGTCTACTGTTCTACTTAACACTAAATGAAAGTAAAATATAACACAGACATGGAGCCATTTGTTATATTTTAGTATATGAAGCAATGGCTGTGTAAACCTTAACCTTGTAATTTTGTGAGTTCCACTTTATCATGTAGCTGTAAGGGTAATCAAAATAAATCACAGGAGGTGAATAAATATTTTCTAGTGCTTTCTCAGTGCTTTAAGAAGTGATGCTTGATCCATGAAATTTTAGTAAGTGTATTAAATAAAACAATATGATGTGCACTGTGTCAGATCTGATAAATTATTCGGTATAGGACATTTATACAACATATGTTGAGCTGCTACGTGAACAGCTTAATGACTAAATTATGTTAATCTGTCTTGCCATCTTTATATTTTGTTAAAAATTGCACTATTTGTATTATAGATATTTATATATTTGTGGGTTGGGGCAGGGATAAGAAGAAGGCATAAGAAAGGTGCAGGTCAGCTCCACGATGTTCTGACAGTGATCCAGGGCTCCTCAGCTGTGCAGTGTACATAACACAGATGTTGGGGAGTCATCTGTCAGCCATGCCTCTCCTATGGAGTTAAAGTTCTAGAGGGAAAAGAATTTGACACAGTGCTGTCACTGTTACATTTTCACAATAGAAGAGCATGCAAATATTGAACCTCCTGCTTAGCAATAGTGCCCTGTCTAATGTCTGTGCTGGTTAGAATAAAAAATCATGGGTGCATCTTGGGCTCAGAGATCTGACAAAGGTCATGCTATGTTGGGCATTTGAATTGGAAATTGTCTGGACTTAGATTTTATAAAGCTCCCACTGTTGTGTGTGGGGAGAATTTCAGCAGGGTTTTGTCCCTGGAGAGGCCTCTTAGGCCCTTTTCTGTCCTATGAATGAATTTAGATGTGAGGGTTACTCCTGCCTTAAAACTGTTAAGTTCATTTTGCATACATCCCTAGAGAGAAAAACTGGCAGATGCTTTTGTCTTGGAAGTGTTTAAAAGAAAACTGCAGAGCAGGAACAAGGGAGAAAAGGGGCCCTGTGTGGAGTCCCAGAACATTTTGGAAATGGCCAATATGCAGTTTTCATCAGTATGAAGGCGGGGTGCAATATGGTGCCTGTAGTTCACGAGGGAATATGAATGTTGATTAAGCATACTCCCAGGCTTTGAAATTCTGAAAGCAGTGTCAGAATAATGGATGTTGAGCAAATGTCAAGCATTTGTTAATTTCTCTGTTATTTGGAGTTTATCTACCATGATCAATCAAATAAACTAGTGCTTCTCTCTTGTGGCATGTGTCATTGATATGGTGATTAGGTGGCTAGAGAGACCTTCTGCTTTTTTTCCAGGTAACAGATTATAAACGAGTAGACAGAGCTTTTCAGTTAAAGATTTGTTTATGGCTTGGTTTAGTAGAAATTTGTATATTAACTGAATACTTTGGTGGCAGTGTGAAAATCCGTGGCCACATGTCAAAGACATAAATTCTGGGACCATTTATACCAGGAGAACTAGTATTGGAGGCATGTTTTCCATCAAAGTATAGTTTTCAGTAGTTTATGAAACTTTGATGTAAAACTGGACAAAAGAAATGGATCCTAGATGAATGCTAACCTTAACATTTGTAGATAGACTTTTCAATCCATTTTTATGTCATTTTTCCTATTTCAATGGTTAATTCTAAGTTAGTGATTGACTTTTATTCGTGAGTGAGAGTAAATTTGTTTCATGTGATTCAACATAATTTCTATTATTTTTAGGAAGTAATGCTACAGTGTTTTGATGTCCCAAGTAGGGGTATCAAAAAAAAAAAAGTAAAAGGTTCCTTTCAGAGTTTACTTAACTGTGGATTATTGTGCAGTGCTAACATTCTGCAGTGTGAGGAGTTGGTTCCCTTTTAGAATGTGAATGACTTTACCAACTGGGATTTCATTAGGGGTTGAGACTAGGTACGATGTGTAACTGTCCTACCCTTCAGCACGGGGTAACTTGGACTGAAAAGGGACCTTTATGTGAAATTTTAGTGGCTGGAATCAAGGTAGATTTGTGATTGGAGATTTGTCCTTTTTCTATACCCCATTTTCTTTTCGTAGTCTTAGGCTTGTAGCTTACATGATTCAGATGGAGACTAGTGTAATACTTACCACCCTTGACCATGTCCAACAGGTACCTCTGTGGTCTTTGGCATGGATATTTTTGCAAAACGACCTACTGAGGTGATCTGTCACCTATTATTAAACCTCATGAACTTGTTTTTTCAGGGGATTCACAACTGAGCAGCCACAGGGCATTGTAAAACCCCAGTGAACTAACTACTTGTGTGATTTCTGGAGCTCTTTGGTTTTCTCAGTCTGCCATGAGGTCACAAATATGGCAGTTTCCAAAGCAGAACATTTTTAGCTTCCTCTTCAAGCTAAGCTGCTTTATCTTAACTGTCTACATTAGACCTTTGCTTTTGGCCTTCTCTGGGACTGGAATTCCTAACCGTATGAGTAAAATCCTCGTGTCCTGCCTGGCACACAGTGCTAGTGAGCTCTACCATTGTACTGCCTCCAGCATCATAAAAATAGACAGCAGTGCTGATTGACTTTTCTGGGCTGCTCTCTGAAAATTCGTCATGAACCTGACACGATCATAGCATCACTGAATCATTAACTTGCACCATACACCAAAACACTCAGGGTTTTATCGATAGCAGCTCTCAATTTTTTTTTGTATTCATAGTGATAAAGCTACTATTATTCCTAATTGGGATTAGGAAGACATGAAAAATCTTGTTAGGGTGTTGAAAAATTATTATGTAACAGTAAGAGGGAAAGAGTTTGAATTTCACTTACTGTGAATTCTTAAGCGTATGTGCTCAGCGTGAACGCTTCCAGCCACTCCAGTGGAAGGGGCTGATGGTTTTGGTTGGTGGTGTGCCCTGTGCCTGCCAGGCTATCAGCGCCTGCATCTTGTCTTCTACTTAACTCTTCTAATGTCCTCCAATAACCAAACTTTTATTTTCCCTCACATGTATTGCAACTATAAATTAATGGCTCACAGTTTTAAAAGTGCTATAATGAATACTATTTCCTACTGCGGACACATTGTAATGATAGCAAAAACACTTTTGGGACTTCTCTTTTGGCAAGTATTTTTGGAGTGTGTGACACAGTGTCTTTGGTACTTTTGAGAATGGAGACAAAAGGCATTATTAAGTTTGAAAAATAAGGGGGCTGATGTTACTAGGTGACCATAAATTCTAGAGACATAATTATTTTGCCATGTGTTATAATTCAATAACAATAAATCCTTTATTGTATTTATCTGTGTTTCTAGACGTGGTGGCCACCCTGTATTTTGGTGAGATGTGAGATGTGACTGTGAAGTTGGTTTTCTTGTGTAACTGGTAAAGTGGTTCTAAAGTGATTCTTAAAGATAAGTTGGGCTGGGCGCAGTGGCTCACGCCTGTAATCCCAGCACTTTGGGAGGCCGAGGCGGGCAGATCACGAGGTCAGGAGATCGAGGCTCGAGCCATCCTAGCTAACACGGTGAAACCCCGTCTCTACTAAAAAAAAATATATATACAAAAAATGAGCCAGGCGTGGTGGCAGGCACCTGTAGTCCCAGCTACTTGGGAGGCTTAGGCAGGAGAACGGCGTGAATGCGGGAGGCAGAGCTTGCAGTGAGCCGAGATCATGCCTCTGCACTCCAGCCTGGGTGACAGAGACTCCGTCTCAAAAAAAAAAAAAGGTAAGTTGTGTTTTTGAGCCATGGCAGCATCATTGGTGCTAAATATACAAATCACACTCCTCTGGGATTATTACTTTGGCCAAAGATAATGTGAGTAAATTAGCTCCTTCTTTTAGCTGAAAAAGTTTATTTTGTTACTTTATCCTTGTACTTAGTAAGTGCAGACTCTCCTTCCTTAACTATTAGCCCTTATTTTATGCCCACCTTTTCTCTGTGCTCCCCAAATGTAGACTGACTACTCAGAAGCTAAAGACACATTCCCTTTAACTAACCTGTTTCCGTTACCCGTCTCTCTGGTGGTTGTTTATAAGGCAGGCTTCTTAGAGGAAGAAGAAAAGTAAAGGGTTAGATAATCTAACTAGGCAGTTAATCCTTGAAAACCAGAGTGGTAGCTCAATTTAGGATTTTCAGTTACATTTTAAAGCATTTCTTATTTGCTTAGAAAGGGAGACTATAGTAATTTTTGAATTTTATCCTATAGCTTACAAAGCATTTTCATAAAACTTTCTCCTTTTTCTGGTGGTAGTGATGGAGGGGGTTGGAGATACTTCTTTAGGCCTCTATTTGGGATAGGGTTTGAAATAGGATGAAACTTATTTGCTATTTATTTTTATTTTCTTCCTGTGTTTCTTTCTGTATCATATAAGCTCCTACTCTCCTATTATATCATTGAAACTCATGCTTTTTATCAGAATAAAGAGGTAAAATTCTTCCTTGTCTTTGGAAGGGACTTATACTTACTGTAGAGTTGGAGGAATCACTACAAAAGGCTGAGTAAAACAGAGAACCCTGAAAAAAGAGTTATTGTCCATTTATTTAGCACAGTTTCTGTGGTAGGGAGGCAACATTAAACATTATTTTAAAAACTGCATTTGTGAGATATTAATAGATGCCTTGGTTTGCTGCAAATTGGTTAAACTTTTTTTTTGGTAATATTTAAATCATAGAGATAGGACTTTTAGTAACTAAGTGTAGGTAAACACTATTTCATGATCAGTAATTATATATCTGGTTTTAAAGCTGTTTCAACAAAATGTTATTGGAAGACAGATTTTCTGCTACAGATGTTAAAACCTTTGGAATATGTGGGGCTGAAAGGACCAGTTCGGGTGTGATCTTAAAATTGGGCAGCTTGCCTTCTGCTTCAATGCTTGGTTCCACCCTGAAGAGGGGAGTTACACACCACTATGTGCACTTGACACATGCAAATGCTAAATTCAGTAGCAGCATGAGGTCTCTGTCATTAACAGTAATTTATGTAATGAAAGCCACCTGGCTTTTTTTTTTTTATAATTAATTGCTTGTAAATAATAAATTTAAGTGTAATTTATGGTTTTCTAAATTTGATTACCATGTAGACCCAACAGCAAACCCAAAAAAATTATCAATTCCATAATGTTCTTCTATGACTTTTAAAAGGTACACACACACACACACACACACACACACACACACACACATTTTAGAGTAAACATCAGATGAAAATACTTTTGGGGAGCAATAAGAATGTAATCAACTCCTGTTGGTTTTATTCAAGTTGGAATGCTAATTTTGAAATAGTCTCATTAAGTTTTATATTATTATGTCAGCTGACCTTTTAAAAGTATTTACACATATAGTTAGTACACTCAGAAGAAAGTATACCTACTTAACAGTAATATAGTAAAACTCCTTTAAAAAAAGCTTTTTCCCTATTTTGTAAAATTCCAATTATGTTTTCAAAAGAATTTATATATGAAGAAAAAGCACCTAAGCATATATGATGATATTTAACATATTGTGGTGATAATAAGAGGCTCTTTGCCTAATAGATTTACCAAGCACAATATCTTAGTTTAAAATGGCTTTACGGTAGTTCTTTTTGTTTATGTGGTCACATATATCAGCTGCCAAAGAATTGTGTTTTCTGACATAGAAAATATCTAAGATTCACATGGTTTAAAGAGAAAGGGGGATTTAGACCCTTGTCCTCTGTGCTTCTCTTTCATTAAAAAAGAAAGGAAAGACGGAAGTAAGGAAGGACATAATTTATGGCTTTATGTTTAAGATTTAACTACTGTTTAATGATGATTATATCAGACTTTCTCAAACTTTGAATCTGATTTCTTAAATTCATACCTCTTTCCTAGATGCATTTCTTTTAAATATCTATATTATTATTTTGTACTATAGCCGTGAAATCACTATCATTGTCAGTGTGTATAATACTTTTGTAAAGGATTAACAGATTAAAGGAGAATTTGAGTAGCTTTGACCTACAAATTTATAAACTGCAAAGACTTTTCTCCATATGTGACTAGCAGCATTTTTACTTCACCATGATTTAATAAAGTTTATATAAATCAATAATGCTGTTTTTGTAACTTGTATTTTTTTTTTAATCTGGAATTCTCTCTGTTCTTTGTAGAAACTCAACTAGATTATGAAAAAGTTAGTTCTGTTAAATAGCAAAATTGCATGTTGACTCCTTGCAAGATTGAGAGAGTCAAGTGAGGAGGTTTCCGCGTTAGCTGGAATTGTCTATAAAGAATAAAAATTTTGGCTTCTGTGTGTAGTCAGAGTGTGACCACCATCCATCACCTCAATAGCAGACATCAGATTTGTTCATCACTTGGTTTCCAAGGTCTAATAATCCCTCAAGAATTTAGAGTGTTGTTGACTGTCCCCATTTACATCAGTGAAGGCTTTGCAACAGGTGCAGCTGTGTATACTAATTGCAGGGTGTGCCTAATCTGTCCAGAAGGGAGAGTACCTCCAAATTTGGTATCTTAAAGAGTGGAGTGACCTTTTAAAGTCCCAGAATGAGAATTGCCAACAATTCCAACAGGCTAATTATACCCACAAGGAGTTGTGAAGTGCTTTTAAGTTTTCCTGTACACCTAAAAGTTCAGTGAACGGCTTGAAGTCATTAACATATGACAGATGCACTCCCTTTTCAAGAGCTTGTATGATAAGTTTTGATTGTAGAAGTGGGAATTTGACCTCTAGCTTATCACTTGCTTCATTAGCGTGCTTGAGGACAAGGAGTTTTTTTTTTGTTTTTTGTTTTGACGTGAGTGTTATCTTACTCATGTTCCAGAATTCTATCTGCCTCCTTCTCTCTGCTGATCTGAAGTCACAGTAGATAACCTTGATGCTGGTTTTTTAAAAGCATCACGCATTGTGTAGTGTTACATATATTTTATATATAAATATATACACTATGAATATGTTTCTGAGCATGGGTCTTTCAAAGTTTTGATTCATTATTTTAGATATACTACCTCCCATGTGATTTCTGTTCTTTTTCATGGAAAAGGAAGAAATACACTTTTTGGCTCATAAAGATGACTGAAAGTCCGACTTCTACATTTCCACAAACTGACCACTTCTTGAAGTGAATGAGAATAAGGGAATGAAGTTTGGGACTCTGCACACACATGGAGGAAAGTATGCTACCCAAAGAATGAACGAATGCTAGAGGTGTACCCATAAAGAGATGCGGAAATGAAGCTTAGAAGGATTTCATGTGGTAAACTCTGTGACTGCAGCACTTAAATGAAATTGCTTTTTATTATCTGGTTGAAAAATCATCCAAAATAAGCCATACAGGACAAAGGCTAAAAAGCTTCTGGGTAAAAGCAGTCTTGGATAATTTAATTTTCTCCCACAGCAGTTCTGTATTTACCTGCTTATGATGTCTGTTTCAATTCCTTAAAAGACTGTATACCTAAACTTTATTTTAAAATGTTTTCTGTTAAATTAAAATCCTCTGTTTATAGAAGTCACTATTCCCTTAACCTCTAAGGGGGTTATGTAAATTTTATATTCCCTAAGGGCACAGTCATATTTAGCTGTGTTCCTGTCAATTACCAGCAAGCTCTTTTTGTACAATTAGGGGGTGGTTAATTTACTCTAGTAAGGTTGCCACCTGTCTAGGGATTAACCCAAACAGGTTGGAAGTCACAGAGAGACTTTTGAATTGAGGTTTAAAGCAGTAGGAGTTGATTTATTAACTCTCTACTACCATTTTGGTGGCATTTTCTGGGTTGATCAGTGGTACTTGTGACAGAAGGTGTTTTCTTGGTCCCTACGTTTGTGAGGTTGGAAAAGTACATTGTTAAAATTTTAAGTGTCACTGGAAATCTGTGAACAGTAGGTGTAATCATGCCTGGTACCCATGAAAATGAACTGGAAAGATCTTCCACTCCTCTCCATTGTTTCCAGTCTTATAATATCTTATCAAATTGTTGGATCAGTGGGAAGTGGCATCCTTAAATAATGTGGATAGTTTGAAGACTAGGATTGTGTTCAATGGAAATAACATCTTATCTGGTGTGTCAGGAAAATAAAACATGAAGAACATTGATGATATAGTTCACAGGAGAATACGAGGAGGTAATTTTACAGTATTTAAAATAAGCTGTGAGAAATACCCAATTTATTAGTTTAAAGAAACATGCCTTAAGTTTTCTGATACAATATGTAAAATATAATAGCTTACTTCATATGATCTAATATGCATTCCATCTGGAGTCTTGTTCCACTAGAAGTGTGCCCGCGATCATGACTGACTTCTTTGAGATCTGTGTGTGTGTCTCTTTCCCTCCCTCCCTTCCTCCCTCTTAACTTCCTTTTATTCCTTCTTCTGTCTTTCCTTCATTCCAGTTTAAAATTAAGTGTATTGTACGTTATATAAGTATTCTTTTTTCAATTATAACCTGTTATGGATATGCAATTCACATACTGCAACATTCACCCTTTTTAAGTGTACAATTCAGTGACTTTTAGTATATTCACAAACTTGGGCATCCATCACCATTATCTAATTACAGAATATTTTACGACCCCAAAAAGAAACCCAGTACCCATCAGGCATGGCTCCCCATTCTCACACTGGCTCAGTTCAGTCCTAGGCGATCACTAATCTACTAGATGTTTCTACCGATTTGCCTATCTGGACATTTTGTATAATGGATATTATACAATACGACTAGCTTTAACGTAGCGTAATGTTTTTGGGATTCATTCGTGTTGTCTCATTCTTTCTTATTGCTGAAAAATCCATTGTAGGAATATACTACCTTTTGTTTATCCTTTTATTAGTTTGTAGACATTTGGTTGTTTCCCTTTTTGGGCTATTATGATTAAATGCTTCTATGAACATTAATGTATAAATTTTTGTGTTGGCCTATGTTTTTGTTTCTCTTGGATAGATACCTTGGAGCAGAATTTCTGGGTCATATGGTTTAACATTTTGAGGAACCATAAAACTAGTTTTCAAAGTGGCTGCATCATTTTACGTTTCTCCATAGGAATGTATGAGGGTTTTAATTTCTCAGAATCATCAATAACACTTGTGTATTGTGTCCTTTTGATTATATTCCTGGTGGGTATGAAGTGGTATCTCACTGTGGTTTTGATTTCTATTTCCTCAGTGACTAATGATGTTGGGAATCTTTTTATGTGTTTATTGGCTGTTTGTATATTTTCTTTGAAGAAATGTCTATCTACATTCTTTGTTCATTTTCTAATTGGTTTGTCATTTTATTATTGAGCTGTAAGAGTTATTTACATATTCTAGATACAAGCCTTATATACGTGATTTGCAAGTATTTTTTTCTAGTCTGTTGGTTCTCTTTTTTATTTTATTTATGGTGTCCTTGAGTTATTCTTTTTTAAGGATCTTACTTCCAGAAGGAAGGTACAGAAGATAAATATAGAGATATCTGTAACCTTTCTATGAGGAGAATTTTATCACTCTTTAGTGAAGTTCTTATTGTTCAATACACTATTTTAGTAAAAGTTGTTTTTCTTTAAACAGTATGTTAAATTAAAAAAAAACTTGGCAAGCAATCTCCTGAATCTCCTGAATATAACTTTAAAAGTTAGGCATGCTTTTAATTTTTTCCCTTTTCGCTTTGCCTTTTAAAGTTATACACAAATATATATATTTAAAGTTTTACACAAATCTCTGTGTGTGTGTATGTATGTGTGTATATAGATAGATAGATAGATAGATAGATAGATAGATAGATAGATAATTTTTTAAGTCAGAGTCTTGGGCTCTGTCGCCTAGGCTGGAGTGCAGTGACATGATCATGGCTCACTGCAGCCTCAACCTCACACGCTCCGGTGATGCTTCTGCCTCAGCCTCCTGAGTAGCCTGGGACCACAGGTGTGCAACCACTATGCCTGGCCTAGTTTTTAAAATTATTTTTATGGATGGGGGTCTCCCTTTGTTATCCAGGCTGGTCATAAACTCCTGTTCTCAAGGGATCCTCCTACCTTGGCCTCCCAAAGTTTTGGGATTATAGGCGTGAGCCACCGCACCTGGCCTATTATATCTTGATCATATCATCTAAGTTGACAATTTGATAGGGGTGATGTTAGTAAAGTGCTAAAAATAAAAACTTGTATAAACCAGTAAAAATGTTACTTAAAAAATAACTATAATTGTAAAGAATCAGGGATCTATCAACTTAAAATGAAAAAACTTAAAGGGCTGGGTGTGGTGGCTCACACCTGTAATCCCAGCACTTTAAAGGGGGGACCGAGACAGGAGGATCGCTTGAAGCCAGGAGTTTGAGAAAAAACTTAAACTCAGTTCTATTGCTTTTACAAAGTGATTAACCAGATATGGTTTATGAAATGTATTTCTTTAGCTGAATGCTGGGAAGAGACCATCACCTTTCCTGGGCCAGAAGATACTGGCCTGGGGATCCAGACCAGGTAGGAGGTCTGGCTTCCAAAGCCAGTTTTGCTGCAGTGCTAAGAGCATGGCCCTGGGCAAGTCACTTACTGTCTTGGAGCTCCAGTTTGTCCATGTGGATAGAAAGAGCTCCTGTTTTTCACACAGGATGTGTTAAGCTTTTAAGAAGGATGTAGTGCCAGGATAATGCCCTGCCAATCTGGAGGCTGGTGTTTTAGTAAAGCTGTGAAAAGGAAACTTTCTACAGTCTGAGAGAGAAAAGATGAGAGCTTCTGCCTTGTACAGCTCTCTGTGTGACCACATGCTTTAGCTCTCTGACATATCAAAGTAGGGCATGTACCTTAGGAGCTCCTCTGGTTGAATATTATCTCAGAGGTCTCAAAGACTGGCTATCTTGCTAAAGTAGTTTATCAGCAAAATACGAGAAAGGGTTCACAAACTATAATATAGGAAATATTTAATCAGTAAGTAGGTATTTGCATTAAAAACAAAACAGATGACAGCTGCATCAAAGCACAG